>NC_000021.9:44391545-44545441 GCF_000001405.40 Homo sapiens | reverse complement strand
TGGGTTGGATGTTTCTGCATCTACGTTAGACCTGTTTAGGGGGTTCTTCAAGTCCTCTATTTCTTTACTGAATGTCAATTTAATTCTTTTTTTTTTAATTAATTAATTAATCAATTTTTTTTTTGAGACAGAGTCTTGCTCTGTCACCCAGGCTGGAGTGCAGTGGCACGATATCGGCTCACTGCAAGCTCCACCTCCTGGGTTCACGCCATTCTCCTGCCTCAGCCTCCCAAGTAGCTGGGACTACAGGCGGCTGCCACCATGCCCGGCTAATTTTTGTATTTTTAGTAGAGACGGGGTTTCACCATGTTAGCCAGGATGGTCTCGATCTCCTGACCTTGTGATCCTCCCACCTCAGCCTCCCAAAATGCTGGGATTACAGGCGTGAGCCACCGCGCCTGGCCTCTTTTTTTTTTTTTAATTACAGAGAATGGCTCATTGATGTCTCTCTTATTGTAGAACCAGAACTGTCTATTTCTTTCTTCATGTCTGTCCATTTTTGTTTCACATACTTTGGTGATCTGATATTAGATATGTATATATTTACAATTGGTATATCTTCTTGATGGATTCACTTTCATCAGTGCATAACGTCCTGTGGGCCCAGCCCCTGCTGATCAGTCTGCTCCAGCTTCTGCATGACAGTGGCTTCCTCATTAGCCTCCGTTCCTGGCCATTCTCCTGGTCTGTGGCTGGCTCCTCCCCCACCAGGCCATCATGTCCCCAGGTAACATCCATGTGGCTCCCCCCGGGCAGCACATAGCATTCCTCAGTTGCTCTCACTAGACAGGTCCCACTTCCTAAGGTCTGGAAAATTATGATGGCCTAATAAAACAAGCTGAGAAATTTAAGCCTAGCATTATTTCTCTCCCAATTATTTACAGCATTCAGTGGTGAAAGTCTTTGGGTCCATAGCTTGCTTTGTAGAATGGCTTTTAATCCTAGATTCATTTAATCAGTATGATATATTTGGGACTTTTCCTTTTCTTGGATTCTGTGTCTTGACAAATATAGATAGTTGTGTCTCCACCAACACCATCAATACATAGACTCCTCTCATCATCCCACAAATTTCCCTCATGCCCCTTTGTAGTCATTCCACATCCCCACCCTAGCCCCTAAAAGGCACTGATTTTTTTTTTGTCTTATTATGATTACTATTGCCATAATATCACATCTACAGAATCCCACAGTGTTTAGTATTTTGCCATATAATATATGACTTAAATAGACCCTTCACTAAAGAACAAATATGGATGGCAAATAAACACATGGAAACATGTTTCACATCATGGATCACCAGGACAGCGCAAACTTAAACCCCAGTGAACTCTCCCTATACAGCTGTGTTGACTAAAGTAATGATACATCTGATGGGCAGGACTGGAAAGAATGTGGGGCTTTGCTGATACGTTTGAGTTTAAACCTCCCATCTCACAGTGGTTTTTGCTTATGCAAGGAATCTACTCCCTTTTATCTCCTTGCTTTACTGCTTTTGGATTGACTGTTTTAAGTTTTTTTATTCCTTCATTGTATTGGTTCCTAGTGCTACCATAGCTAATTACACCAAAAGTGTGACTGGAAACAATGGAAAATTATTCTGTCATAGTTCTTAGGGCCAGGCACCTGAAATGAAGGTTTCCACAGGGCAATGCTTTCTCCGAGCTCCAAGGGAGAATATGCCCTTGCTCCTTCTAGCTTCTGGTGGCACCCAGCAAACCTTGGGTTCCCTTGGCTTCTATCTTCACTCCAATCTTTGCCTCTGTTGTCATATCATCTTCTTCCCTTTGTGTGTATGTCTGAACTTCCTTCTCCTTTCTCTGGTAAAGACACTAGACATTGGATTTAAGGTTCACTATGATCCCGTATGACTTAACTAATTATATCTGCAAATACCTTATTTCCATATAAGGTCATATTGGGAGGTTCTGGGTGGAGACAACCTTTGGGGAGGAATGATTCGGCCAAGTACTAGCATCTACTTCCTAGTGAGTCGTATATTCCTTTGTTATTATAGTGGAGATTATAACATGAATCCATGACTTTTTAAAGTCTCATGTAAATTAGACCTTATATTATTTTTCAGATGGTGCAGTGTGCTTAAGCCACTTTAACTCTATGTAGCCCCTCCTGAATTTTGTGTTCTTGCCATGTATTTTATTTCCATAAATATTTTACAACTTACATTTTATACAGTCAACATTCATTTAGATTTTCCCCATGTGTTCTTCTTTTGTTACACTTCATTTCCTTATCAACTTCTTGCTTTCATCTGTGCTTGTTTTCATTCTACCTAATGCTCCCTTTAGTATTTTCTGTAGTGCAGATCCTGCTGGTGACATATCCTCTCGGTGTCCAGAGGATGTCATTATTCTGTTCTCATTTGGGGGAATCTTCTTCCCAGGTATAGAATTCTAGCTTTGTGCTTCTTTTCTTTCAGACAGTAAATATATCATTCCATTGTCCTCTGCCTTTCATCATTTCTACTGAGAAGTCATCTGTAAGTGTTATTGTTGCTTCTTTGAAGGTAATATGTCTTGTTTTCCTCTGGCTGTTTTTAAATTTTTCTGTCTTTGGATTTCAACCCCAATGTGCCCAGGTGTAGTTTTCTTTGTGTTCACTTGCTAAAGATTCTTGGTTTGGAGGGTTCCTTTTTTTCTTTTTCTTTTTTCTTTTCTTTTTCTTTTTTTTTTTTTTTTAACAGGTCTCTTTCTGTTGCCCAGGTTAGAGTGCAGTGGTGCAATCTTGGCTCACTGCAGCCTCTACCTCCCAGGCTCAAGTGATTCTCCTCCTTAGCCTCTTGAGTAGCTGGGACTACAAATGTACCACCAAAGTGGGCCAACTTTTCATATTTTTTGTAGAGATTGGGTTTTGCTATATTGTCCTGGCTGGTCTTCAACTCCTAAGCTCAAGCAGTTTGACCACCTTGGCCTCCCAGAGTGCTGGTATTACAGGTGTGAGCCATCATGCCTGGCCTAAAGATTCTTAAATGCTCTTTGCATCTATGCATTTCATCAGGTTAAAGTTCTTGTCCATTACATCTTCAAATATTTTACTACCCCTATTTCACTCCTCTCCTTGTAGGATTTCAATCATTTTTCCCATAAATTTTCACAAAATATAGGCATGTTTATTGCTCCACTTTCTTTATTTCCCTCTTTTCTTTCCCATCTCTGTATTCAGGCTTGAAATTTCCTCATCTCCCTTCCTTTACTAATCTTCTCTTTGGTTTTGTCTATATGTTGTAAAGCTAAGCTACCTAGTTCTTAATTTCAGCTATTGTGTTCTTCGTTTCCAGAATTTTTGTTTGATTCCATTTAATAAATCCAGTTTGACACTGAAATTCTCCATTTGTTCTCTATTTTCTTGAGCAAGTTAATCAGCATTAAATTCCAGTTTCACAATTCTAATATCTAGATCTCCTGCACGTCTGTTTCTCTTGTTTGTTTTTTTCCTCTTGGTCTTTTGGTCAGTTGGTCTTGTCTTCTAATATCCCTAGTAATTTTTTGACTGCATGAAGGACTTTATGAAAATTTATAAGATGATTTGAGCCTCTGTTGATGCTGCTGTCTCCAGAAGAGATCACTTTTGTTTCTGGGAGGCAGTTAGGCTACAGGCAGATCATATGAGTTCAGTGCGAGTTTATTTAAAGATAGGTTTCATTCTTTCTGGTTTTTCCTTCCTCCTAGGGAGTAGCCCTTCACTTACATTCAGCATTTCCAACTGAAAGCCTAGGGTGTTTTTGCTAGAATCCCTCCACCTTGTCAGGTCCTGAACTCTGTGGTTTTTTTCTTCTAATTCCATGAGACTACTAAAAGCTCTGCTCAGCTGATCAGGCTCTCGGCCTCTTGGCTGTGGTCTGTAAATTGGTAAATGCCTCAGTAAGAAAATCCACAAGGAATATTGGACTCACTTCTGTGCAGTTTCTCTCTAATGCGGATTCACTCACTCAAGTCTCAGCTGTCTTGATACCTCCCGGCCCCTTCGAACAGAGATTTTGTTTGTAAACCAGATTTCCTAATATTTCTCAGCTAGATGGCCAGTCTGATGTAAGCCAGTTCCCCACACACGAAAGGAGAACTTGACAGAGCATTTTATACAGCATAAGAAAAAGGTGGCACAATGGAATCGCGTTCAGAGCTCAAAATTACTCTTCAATAATTTCTCCAAAAAAGTTTATTATTTCAGCCCATTTTTATAAAGGCTTTTCCTTGGGCCAGGCATGATTTTAGGCCTTTGAAGACTGAGTGGTGAACAAGACAAACACACTCCCTGCTCACATGCAGCTTACGTTTGAAGAAAGGAAGCTGAGGACAGCAAGGACAATGAACAGGAACAGGGAAGACACGTGGTGCAGAAATACTGATGATGGCCAGGCACCGGGCTCACGCCTGCAATCCCAGTACTTTGGCCAAGGCAGGAGGGATCACTTGAGACGCCATCTGTACAAAAAAAAAAAAAAATAAATTTAAGAATATTGATAACGGGACTTGAGTTATCTATGGTTGAAGCACATCATAAAGCTATGGCCTTTAAGAGCAGAACCAAATCCATGGGCCAGTTCAAAACTTTTCTTTCCTGTCCGAAACCCAGTCCTATCCCCAGCGTTCCCACACCAACGTCTGAGTGGACCTCGGGGAAGGCCGTGGGGAGGGGCATGGCCTCTCCTTCCTTGCTCCCCTTCTCCCTGTTTGGGGCTCTAATTTCTTCAGTGATGGGGATGGGGGAAGGAATGTGCAGGGCCACCACTGTGGGGTTCGCTGGCCACTGCTGCACCTTCTCTCCGGCTGCTCCAGTGATCCTGTGCTTCTACCAGCTGCTTCTGCCTCTTCAGTGAGGACCCGCTTTAGGGAGGAGACGCCCCCACGATCGTGAGTGGGACAGCTCTCACCCTGGCATGCCACACTTTGCATAAGGCTGAAGGGCCACCCCTGCCTCCGCAGCCCCCTTCTTACAACCCGGACTGCACTGGTGGCGTGCTGGGACCAGGTCCACCTCCACTCTTGCCCCCAGGGATCCACATGGGACAGGCTACAGCCCAGACAGGACAGGAGATTTATGACCTGGGCCACATCACAGGCAAACAAACATCCCTAGTCATGACACACGCCACCTCTCAGCAACCAGGAAGGGGACGCTGTGGGCCCTGGAACAACAAGGCCAGAAGGGGTATAAAAGCAGAGCCCCACGAAGCTCACACACTCACTCACACACTCAGTCACTCACACACACACTGACTCCCACACTCACTCACTCACACCTCCCGCAGCTCACCTCCTCCCCACCCCAGCATGGCCGCGTCCACCATGTCCGTCTGCTCCAGCGCTTGCTCCGACTCCTGGCAGGTGGATGCCTGCCCAGAGAGCTGCTGTGAGCCCCACTGCTGCGCCCTCAGCTGCTGCGCCCCGGCCCCCTGCCTGACCCTGGTCTGCACCCCAGTGAGCCGTGTGTCCAGCCCCTGCTGCCAGGCAGCCTGTGAGCCCAGCCCCTGCCAATCAGGCTGCACCAGCTCCTGCACGCCCTCGTGCTGCCAGCAGTCTAGCTGCCAGCCGGCTTGCTGCACCTCCTCCCCCTGCCAGCAGGCCTGCTGCGTGCCCGTCTGCTGCAAGCCTGTGTGCTGCCTGCCCACCTGCTCTAAGGATTCCTCTTCATGCTGCCAGCAGTCTAGCTGCCAGCCAACTTGCTGTGCCTCTTCCTCCAGCCAGCAGTCCTGCTGTGTGCCTGTTTGCTGCAAGCCTGTGTGCTATGTGCCCACCTGCTCTGAGGATTCCTCTTCATGCTGCCAGCAGTCTAGCTGCCATCCAGCTTGCTGCACCTCCTCCCCCTGCCAGCAGGCCTGCTGCGTGCCCGTCCGTTGCAAGCCTGTCTGCTGCAAGCCCATCTGCTGTGTGCCCGTCTGCTCTGGGGCTTCCACTTCATGCTGCCAGCAGTCTAGCTGCCAGCCGGCTTGCTGCACCACCTCCTGCTGCAGACCCTCCTCCTCCGTGTCCCTCCTCTGCCGCCCTGTATGCCGGCCCGCCTGCTGTATGCCTGTCTCCTCCTGCTGTGCCCCTGCCTCCTCCTGCCAGGCCAGCTGCTGCCGCCCGGCCTCCTGCGTGTCCCTCCTCTGCCGCCCCGCGTGCTCCCGCCCGGCCTGCTGAGGCCTCTGCTCAGGCCAGGAGTCCAGCTGCTGATGGGCACCCGCCCTGGGCCAGCTGGGCTCAGTTCCTGACCTGGGTTAGGTGGCTTCCCCCACCTAGGACGGGTCCCCGTGTCTCCCCTGTGCTGAGGTGACCCCCCCTCCTTGCTCCCAGGAGCCTCCATCCTTGCAGCTCCCCAGCTCTTGCCTTCCAGCAGGTGCCCACCTGCCTGCTAGGTCCCCTGTCCTCCCTCCCAGCTTCTCTGCTCTGGGTCACTTGGCCTCGACTTGAACCTCTCAGCACCTCCTCCTGCTCCCCAATAAACTCTCCTTGGTCACCTGATTCTCTTTTCTGTTGTGTTCCTGGGGGACACATGGTTTTGAGCTGACATTGGTCTCCTCCAGCCATGATTATTTTTAGGAATGAGTGACTTAACCTAGAAGTCACAGGGGACAGTGGCCTAACTCCTCCAGGGGGTCACCAGGTGGGACTCACGGTCACTCCCAGGAAGGCTCAGTCCCAGCTCAGCCCCTGTGCCCGGGTCTTCCTGAGCCTGGTCATTCGCTGTCATGCCCTGGGCTGTGGGGCTCTCCAGGCCCCAGGACTGTCCCACCCACTCTCTCACCTGGGAGAGCCCACACTGCAGGGTCACCTTCCGGGAAGCTGCCCTGGGGTCCGGGCACTGCAGCCTCCAGGCCTGGTCACCCTCCCTGTGTGCCGCCCGCCCGAGGGTTCTGCCCGTTTTAGCAGCAATGCGAGGGGAGAGGGAGGGGCTGCTGCACCTGCGCAGGAGACAAGGGACTCGATGGGAACAAAAGCATCATGGGGTGGGCGGATGGAGGCACAGGATTCCCCAAAACCCTGGCGCTGCCCAGGTTCTCCTCTTGGGGGGGGGGGGGGCAGCAGTTTCCACACAGGTGTAGGGACAAGGAGCCTGGGTTCCCACAGATGATGCCGGTGCGGGCACACAGTCAGCGACACTCTCATCTCTCTAAGGCTTGGTCCACGCGGGGAGCATGAGCTGCCTGTGATGTCCTGTGGGAAAGGCCGTCAGCGGGGACAATGGTAAGATCAGGCAGCGCATGGGGCTCCGCCACCCTGGGTGGGTGCAGAGCAGTCAGTCCTCAGACTGTGAGACAAACTCCTCCAGGCCAGCTGCAGAGACCAAAACGCTGATGAGAATGCCCGCCCCTGGGATGCTGCAGTCACCCCACAGCCAGGCCGGCCGCAGCCTGATGGACATGGTGCTGCCACGGCTGTGGTCAGAACAGGCACAGAAATGCCACAGAAAGTGAGGTGGAGCCTGGGGGGCGGGGTCTGCGTGGTTGCTGCCCAGGGCCCTCAGTGGCTGGGGGACCCCGCGTGACCCCGGCTCAGCCTGATCTGCTCTCAGCTCCCTGCCCTCCGCACTGACGGCTGCTGGGAACCCACTATGGCCTAAATGCATGGCCGTCCACACTGAAAGTTTCCTGTTCACATTCCTAGCCCATTTCTTATCAGGCTATGTGTGTTTTTCTTGTGGATTTAGGGCTGGGGATCCTCTGTCCATCATATGCCCTCCAAATATTTCCAACCCATCATTGCTTCTATACAGCACACTCCCCGAGATTGGAAACAGGCCTAATTTTGCTGATATTGGTTTCATTGTTATTGCTTAGATTTAACTTTTTGCCCCATTTGCTGATATGACTTGTGTGAGGTATGACGTATTAATCTTTCTCTTCCACCAATAGCCAACTGTCCTTTTTTAAAGTTAGTTTATTCTCTCCATCTCCCATTTGAAACATCTCTTTTGTCTGAGAAATGTTTGTATAGCCTGCTTCTGAAATCCCTATTTTGTATTTTGTTCTATTCATCTCTTGATCTATCCTTGCATCCATTCCAGCTGTTTTATCCATGTTATTCAGCTTCATAATATATCCTAACAGCTCATAAAGAAGGTGCCACTATCTTATTTTCTAAAAACGTTGGTTCTAGCTTGTTCTCAATTAATTTTAGAAAGCTTTTCCAGTATTTTTTAAACTGCTATAATTTTGATTGGGATTGCATTGAGCTTTTAAATATGTAGGAGGAAACTAACAGCTCCTAAGGAAGGTGCCACTATCTTATTTTCTAAAAACGTTGGTTCTAGCTTGTTCTCGATTAATTTTAGAAAGCTTTTCCAGTATTTTTTAAACTACTATAATTTTGATTGGGATTGCATTGAGCTTTTAAATATGTAGGAGGAAACTATAATTGTTCATCTTGTCTTGCCTTGCAGTTACACAGTACAATAGTTCCATTTAGAATTCCATCATTTTCTTCTATAGGTCTAAAATATTCCTCTTTGGATTAAATTCGAGGTATTTCATAGGGATGTTTTACTAGTGTGAATGGGGAACAGTTTTCTATTATGTTGTCTTAGTATATAAATCCTGTATATATGTCTATATAAATTTTTTACATATATATTGTCTTCATATCAAACCATATGTTTAGCTCCTTTCCTTTGCAAGTTCTCTTATTAGTTCTTACAGTTTGTCATTGATTTTCTTGGATTTTTCTATGTAGATGAGCTCATCATTTGAAAATAAGGAGAATTTAACTTCTCATTTCCAATCTTTAAAACTCCCATTTCTATTGTTTTTCCTGTGGCAACATTACTTTGAACACCCAGGATGATGCTGAATAAAATTAAAAGAATCCTTGATTGTTCCTGACTTTCATGAGAAAGCGTCAAAGGTTCACCACTACACGCAGTGTTTGCTGTGGGGTTTAAGTAGAAACCTTTTATTTTTAAACCAAGTCTTTCTATTTCCTTTTTGCTATGAATTTTCATTTACTAGAATCAAGGATTGTTTTGAGAGGGAGGAGTGGATCCTAGAGACATGGTGCTACCTGAGGCATAGTTTCTAAATCTCCCTAAATCCCAAATAGAAACAGAGAGAATTACCAGATAGAAAAAGAAAAACCCATGGGTTCCATTTAGGACAGAACTTAATGGCAAGATATCACCCAAGGGCCCAAAATGCGAGTGGGTAGGAACCAGGCCCAGAAGTCAGTGTTGCTGAGGTCTGTGCCGGAGGACGCCGAGGGAGCACTGGCAGGAGCAGCAGCCTGAGGATGGGAGAAGCCCAGCACCGCCCGGAAAGGGGGCCAGAGTGTGAACAGCCACTGCAGCTGGGCAGGCCCCTCCTCTCCATCAGCCATGGAACACAAGCGGCTGCAGGAAGAAGCCTGACAGGGCTGGACTCTGCCACTGTGAACTCTTGAGTCTGAGCTACCAGGGCTTCCTTCCACAGAAGAGTCCCTCTGTCTCCCAACCTGAGGGTAAGGAGCTTGGAGTGGAAGCAAAGTTGGGCAGAACAGAAAGTCCACTTCCAATGGAAAAAGACCTAATAGCCCCATAGATAGTTTTTTTTTTTCTTTTTTCCTTTTTTTTTTTTTGATAAACATAGAAATTGATCCTTCTGGTCTTAAAGCTCAAAACTTTGCTTTATCTGTAATCCCAGCACTTTGGGAGGCCGAAGCGGGCGGATCACCTGAGGTCAGGAGTTTGAGACCAGCCTGGCTAACATGGTGAAACCCCATCTCTACTAAAAATACAAAATTAGCTGGGTGTGGTGGTGTGCACCTGTAGTCCCAGCTACTTTGGAGGCTGAGTCAGGAAAATTGCTTGAACCTGGGAGGCAGAGGTTGCAGTGAGCAGCTACTTCCAGCACGCTACTGTGGGAATACTGCAGGCAGTCGCAGTGTACAAACAGTGTATTCGTGTTTCTAAACACAGACACGATACAGTAAAACGTCAGTGTTACAATCTTACAGGACCACCATCCCCTGTGCTGTCCACTGTCAACTGAAACAGGCTCTGGCCGTACGTGACTGTATGCTGTCTAACTGTTTTCATACCTGCTTTACCTTTCAGGCTTAATCACTTTCAATTCTTTAATTGTGTTGGGCTAGGAATGAATGGAATCTAAGTTGGAAATAAGTATAATCAAGTGCTTTGTTTCACATAACCCAAATTGGAAAGGAAGCCAAAAAGCTCTGAGGTCTTGGTGGACACCGCATTTGTATACGTTCTTGTTTTTTAATTGTGGTAAAATACACGTAATGTAAAATTTACCATCGAAACTATTTTTAAGGGTACAGTCAGTGGCATTCAGGACATCCATGTTGTTGTGCAGCCATCACCACCGTCCATCTCCAGAACTTCTTCGTCTCCCAACACTGAAACTCCACACCCATTAAACACTTACTCCCCATCACCCCCCAGCCCCGGCACCTACCATTCTACCTTTTGTCTCTGTGAATGTGACCAGTCTAGTGACCTCATATAAGTGGAACATCCCCAAGGTTCATCCATGTTGCAGCATGTGTCAGCATTTCCTTCCCTCTTTATGGCTGACTAATATTCCACTGTGTGGTTGGACCACACTGCGTTTACCCATCCATCCGTTCGTGGACACTTGTGTTGCTTCTACCTTTTGGCAATTGTGAGTAAGCCACTATGAACATGTGTGTACAAGTATCTCTTTCGATTCTTTTGAGAATGGACCCAGAAGTGGAATTGCTGAATCATTTGGTCGTTCTGTTTATAACTTTTTGAGGAACTGCCATCCTGTTTTCCACAGTGGCTGCACCATTTTACATTCCCACCAACAGTGCGCAAGAGTTCCAGTTTCTCCACAGTGTCGCCAGCATAACACATTCTGTTCTTTGGGCATTAGCCATCCTAGTGTGTGGGGGTGCCTTTGGGTTTTACCATGGACCCGTGCTCCTGACTAAGCCGGTCCCTACGGCCTGGCGCCAGCCTTGCCCCTGGCCCAGCAGCCCTCCCTCTCACACATCAGCCCTGTCACATACCAGCCCCACCCCTCACACACCAGCCCCGCCCCCTCACACCAACCCTGCCCCCTCACACACCAGCCCCGCCCCTCACACACCAGCCCCACCCCTCACACACCAGCCCTGCCCCACACACACCAGCCCCGCCCCACACCAGCCCCACCCCTCACACACCAGCCCTGCCCCACACACACCAGCCCTGCCCCCTCACACAAGCCCCACCCCTCACACACCAGCCCCGCCCCACACCAGCCCCGCCCCCTCACACACCAGCCCCGCCCCCTCACACAAGCCCCACCCCTCACACACCAGCCCCGCCCCCTCACACCAGCTCCACCCCTGGCACCAGCCCTAGCGCTCCATCAACCCCATCCCTCCCCATTAGAGGGCTAATTAGAAGGCCCCTATCCACCCTGCCCTTCCCATCCACCGCGCCCCCTCACCTCGCCCCTCCAGTCAGCCCCTGCTCCTCTCACCACCTGTGCTCATCACCTCTGCCATTCCCATCTGCCCTGCCCCCGCACCCGACCCCTACCCCCAGCCCCGTCCTGAGCCTGGCCCGCTCTCCACAGAGGAACGAGTACCTGCTGACGGTGGTGGCAGAGGAGAGCGACCTGCTGCTGCTCGGCCTGCGGTTGTCACCTGCCCAGCTGCACTTCCTGTTCCTTCGCGAGGACACGGCCGGCGCCTGGCAGACCCGAGTGTCCTTCCGCAGCCCGGCCCTGGTGGATGGCCGCTGGCACACACTGGTCCTGGCTGTGTCCGCAGGCGTCTTCTCCCTCACCACGGACTGCGGCCTCCCGGTGGACATGTAGGTACCCACCCGGGGAGGGTGCACCTGCAGTCCTCAGAGTCCTGCCAGGCCAGGCATCCTTCAGCCGTGCTCGCCGAGCAACACCTGCAGGAGCTGTCCTGGGGCAGGAGCTGACCAGGGTCAGGAGCCATGGGGTGGAGGGGCAGGAGCCATCCACGGGGCAGGAGCCGACCAGGGGCCAGGAGCCATGGGGTGGAGGGACAGGAGCCATGGGGTGGAGAGGCAGGAGCCGACCAGGGGCCAGGAGCCATGGGGTGGAGGGGCAGGAGCCATCCACGGGGCAGGAGCCGACCAGGGGGCAAGAGCCATTCATGAGGCAGGGGCTGACCATGGGAGGTCAGGTCAGCGTCCGCGCCAGCCTCTGCAGGGCTGCATGGGGTGAGGCAGGCTCACCATCTGTGGGCAGAGTGGACATTGGCGAGAACAGGTGGTGAGTGATGCCCTGGATTCGGGCTGGAAGGGGAATGGGCCTCTCCCGCGGAGCGTTTATGAAGCACACTCCTGTCAAAACCCCGATTTTAATGTTTCTCCACGCCTTAAACACAAAACCCGCTGCACATCAGAGTCAGTGGCTTAGAACAAGGTAAGGGCGATCACACCAAGCGCACTCCTTTTCCAGAAGTAGCTCAGGGGACTTGGCAGGGGACCGGCACTGTGGGGAGGGCGCTAACATCACAACAGGCAGCAGCGGGAAGTCAGAGTAACTCCTTCCCCAACCTCCAGGCTGGAGGCCGAGGCCTGGCTCCGTGACTCCACATGGCAGGTTCCTCGTGGACGAGGGAGCAGATGTTGACAGAAACTCCAAATGAGTACAAGATTATCCTTTGTAGCCTTGGACACAATGGGGGCTTTTGGAAGCCGAGTTCGTTTCTCGTTTTTGCCGTCGCCTGGTTTGTGGCCTGACGGTAGGTCCCCTGGACAGGAGTCCTCAGTCCCCTAGCTCGGCCAGTTGGTTACCCATGTCAGGATCTACCACTGTGGAGCAGGGCTGCGCTTCTGTCTTTTTAATTGCAAATGATCCAGTTTATATTAAATCTATTAAATATTAAATTATTTCGAATATTACTTTCAAAGGTAGGATCTTCTGTTTTGTTATGAAACTTATCGCATAAATATTTTTATTATGCACTTAGCTTAAACACACTTTTATCAGAGCCTCTCTCCCACCATACCCCAAACTCTTTAGGGCCCTCAGGACGGTGATGAGTTCTCAGGTCCTGAGAGCTGGAAGCCTCCCAGGGACGTGCTGTGCAGGCTGAAGACAACCTGACCTAGCAGCAGCTTCCCACCCCGTAAAGAAAGTCCTGGCTGGACGTGAATGCTGCCTGACTTCTGGCTTTGCCACAGCAGCTAGGAATGACGTGGCGGCAGCGCCTGAGGCCTGGACAAACGTTCACCTGCCTCATCAGGAGAAAGGAAGAAATCAGGGTCGAAAGCATAATGATTAGGAATGTTCCCCGAATGTTTTAAAAGTGGACTTCCTGGGGAAGATGGTGGGACATGGGGAGTCACAGGCCTGGAACCAATTGTGGCCACGGAAGAACTTAACCCCTTGGCAGGCTGCTACGGAGGGTACAGGCCAGGGCTTGGGGGCCAGCAGCCTGGACCCTAGCAGAGGCCGAGCTGTGTGCAGAGGACGGGGCTTTCTGGGACAGCAGGGCAGGAGCTGAGCTCACCACGGCCAGCTGCAGCCAGATGGCAAAGACTGGAAGGAGCAGGTGTTTTACAAGAGACAGTGGCAGCGTGGGCGGGAGGCGAGCCCGAAGGCACCCCTGCTCTTCCGCCCAGGAGCTCTAGCCACGCTGTCCCTCAGCGGGCACCCACCTTGCTCCATCTCCGGAGTTCAGCCTCCACGCACTCGTCAAGACCGCCTGCTCCTGACACCCTCATGGGTCACCAGCCTCCTTCCTGTCCTGAAGCCATCTGTCCCAGCACCCCAGGCCGGGTGATGGTGCAGGAGCTCAGTGGAGGGAGGGTGAGTGGGCTGGAGGACCCTGTGCAGGTCGAAGCCACTGCACGTTCACCATGAGATAGGGAAGAACCACTAAGCATGTCACCACGCACTTCTGCAGGAGGCCCTGGCCCTGGGGTGAAGTGCCCCCCCCGAATTCATGTCCACCCAGCACCCGTGAATGTGACCTTACCTGGAAACAGAGTCTTTGCAGTCATCAAGTCAAGCTGAGATCATCCTGGAGTGAGGCGGGCCCTGCTCCAGTGTGACTAGGATCCTTACCAGGAGACAGATACTGGGAGAGTCGGACACTGGAGCGACATGGCCACAGGTCACGGGGAGCACGTGCAGCCACCAGAAGCTGATGAGTCGAGGAAGCGTCCTCCTCTGGAGCCTTCGGAGAAACCCTGCCCCAGCCTGATCCAGGCTACTGGGCTCCAGAGCTGTGCAGGCGATCAGCCCTGTGTGCCATCCTTTGTGTGGCAGCCACAGCACAGATGCACGCTGCTTAGTGAGGGGCTTGTTCCTGTTCCTTCTGTGAGTAAACTGGGGTGACCACTCTCCTATGGCCCTAACACAGTCCTTTGATATTTTCAGAATGGCCGATGTGCCCTTCCCAGCCACCCTGTCAGTGAAAGGAGCTCGATTCTTCGTCGGCAGCCGGAGGAGAGCCAAAGGCCTGTTCATGGCGAGTATGGAGGGGCTGCCTTCCCAACACCCGTGCTGCGGGATGGGACTGCCCCAGGCCAGTTGTCCTACTGCTCTAGTTGACAGATCCTTGGACGTGCTAACTGGGAAAAGAAGGTACAGCGTGCGTGGAGTCTCTACCACAGGGCCTTCACGCTTGCTGTTTCCTCCTGGCACCCTCCTCCCTGATGGTCTTGGGTCCCTGCCCAACGGTCCTCTTCAGGCTGCCCCCACCATGCTGAGCTGATGCCCACACTCTGCCCTGCAGCCCCTTCCCCGGAGCTGTCTTTCCTCAGTAGGGCCTGCTGCTCTCAGGCCAGCTGGGTGTCTGCTCGGTGCCTGTGTCTCCACTCACGTGTGAGTGGGGACCTCACTCCATGAGGCTAGAGGCCTTTGTTCCCTGCTGAGTCCAGTGTCTAGAGCCATGCCTGGCACATAGCAGATGCTCTGAATATTTATTGATGCATGGTTTGACAGATGGATGGGCAGATGGAGGGATGGACAAATGGATGGATGGATGGATGGATGCGTGGAGAGATGAACAGATGGAGAGAAAGATGAATGGATGGATGGAGGGATGGATGCGTGGAGAGATGAACAGATGGAGAGAAAGATGAATGGATGGATGAATGGATGGGTGGATGGAGGGATGGATGGATGAGTGATGGATGAATGGGTGGATGGATGGATGAATGCATGGATGAATGGATGGGTAGGTGGAGGGATGGATGGATTAGTGATGGATGAATGGATTGGACTGATGGATGGACAGATGGATGGATGAATGCATGGATGAACAGGATGGGTGGATGGGCTGTTGGATGAGCAGAGTAGCCAGTCACTCTAAGTTCACATAAAAAACCCCTTCTGTGGTTCAGTTCCCTCGGAAGGGGGGCAATTCTTCACCATTGCTCCCATGGCCTCCTCAGTAACCATCATGTAAACTCTTCCCAGTTAGCTCTGCAAAAGCTTAGATTCCATCCACCCGAGCCTCCTCCGGGCTCTGGATGGGCCAAGCTCAGTGGTCGCCTCCTCAGCGGGTCCTTCCCCAGCAGCGCGGGCCTGAAGGAGCTGTCCCTCTCTCTGCAGGGACTGGTGAGGCAACTGGTCCTGCTGCCGGGCTCAGACGCCACCCCAAGGCTGTGTCCCAGCAGGAACGCCCCGCTGGCGGTGCTGTCCATCCCACGGGTCCTGCAGGCTCTCACGGGGAAGCCAGAAGATAACGAGGTGCTAAAATATCCCTATGGTTAGTAGGGGGGCCACCCGCCCCCACACCAAAGGCAGATGCGAGAGCCCTGGCCTCACACCAGGCGGGAACTCAGGGCTCAGCTCTCAGCCCCTCTCGTGTGCCTGCCCCCCTCATCACTGCTACGGGGGGCAGCGGTCATATTGGCCAGGGGGATACTCGGGGCCCACCCCTAGGAAGGCAGGCGGCACCATCAGACAGGCCAGTGTCATCCTGCCCTTCCCTCCAAGCACTCCCACGACAGCCATCCAGCCCCTTCCTGGGGACCCCAGGCAGAAAACAGGCCTAACTTACTTTAGAAAGTCTGTCCAGAGCTATCTGACATCCCTCATCCCCTTTTGCCCCCCAAGGACAGCGTTTGGGCCATTTCTCCCCACCCCGCCTCTGTCCCACCATCATCCAGACCAGCCCGCCCCAGTCGGGCCCACTCTGGCCCTACACTCACGTCTTCCACGATCCCCCGGCCCAGAGGGCCTCCCCGCTTGATTTTCTCTTGTGTGAAGTTACAAGGGTGACTGTATTTATTTAAACCACACTCCTGCCATGGAGAATCTGAAATGCCCCTCCCCGCCGCATCCCCACTGCTCTCAGCCAACCCGAGGGGCAGTGAGGTGGAGAACAGCCGAGCCCCCGAGCCTCAGGGTTAGCGGTTACCAAGTAGGGGAGCCCCCACCTCCAACACATCCGGGCCGCATGGTATACTGTGTCACACCGCTGGCCAGCACCGGCTGGCAGGTGCACAGATGTCCCACATAGAGTCAAGAGGTGGCAGAATTAGGACCCATGGTGGGGTGTGATTACTGGAAGTGATGAGATCAAACCGCCACAGGTTCAAGCCAAGCCGTCGTTAAGATACACCACTGTCAACAGGGACTCCCTCCTGAGGGGGGACCATGCCCTGTGCAATCGCTGAGGACTCTCAGAGGAGCAGGCCTTTTCTGCCTCAATGGGATGGAAAGCCACGCCTTTCAGAGTGGACAGAGGGTGGGCTGACCATATAGGGGGCATCATGATGTCCTTCGTCACCGGTAGGCCAGGTTCTCAATTCCCCGTCTGTGATGTGGCAGGCTTGTGCCAAGGTGCCTGCAGGGGCCCTTCCAGGCCCGCATGCAGAGGCTGAGGCAGGGCAGCCTGGTTTGGGGGCCTCTTCCTGTGTCGTCTTCCTTTGGGGGCACTGGCTTGCTGGAAACTCATCTTCCTGGTCTTCCCCTCAGAAACCAACATTCGAGTGACGCTGGGACCCCAGCCACCGTGTACCGAGGTGGAAGACGCCCAGTTCTGGTTTGATGCCAGCCGGAAGGGCCTGTATCTGTGTGTTGGCAACGAGTGGGTCTCCGTGTTAGCAGGTGAGGCAGCCCTGCACCCGGGGCGTTGGCATGCAGGGCCACTCTGGCACAGTGTGACTGGGAGTGGAGGCTAGGAGAGGGGGCACCTCAGCCACCTCTGAATGACCTCAGGCTTGGCCGTCAGGCTGGGGCACTTCTAAGAGTGAGAGGCAGCATCAGTCCTGACCCCCAAAGCAAGCAGCGGGCAGGACACTGCCCTCCCTAGAGCCACAGGACTCAGCCACAGGCCCTCCTCAGGGCAGGCACCACTTAGGACAGGAAACTGCCCCACCAGGAGCCTCGAGCCTGTGCATCTCAATTGGAAATGTGAACCTCCAGGGCATGACACACGGGCTGACAGGGCTGGGCATCGCGTGGTACCCCTTCCCAAACCATGGGAAGACAATGCCTGCCTCCCTGCAGCCTCCTTGGTAGGGTGGCCCGGCTGCCGCCTCTGCCCACACCCTCCCTGTCTGCTAGATCAGAGATGAGATCCAAGGAGATGACGAGCCTGAAAGGTTATTTTTACAGAGAGCCTTCTCAGCAGTCCGTTCCCGCTGCTGGGGAGGTGAGTGGAGGTGGCGATAGATGCTCCAGACAGGTTACCCGTGGGAAATGGGCATGGGTTCCGCCCAGCACGTGTGTGAGCTGCTCTCTTTCACATTATCGAGAGCACAACTTGCCGTAGAAGCAGTGAGCCTTTTAACAAGGCCACAACCCACAACATGTAAACTTCACTGGGGGCTGCACAGATCACAAAGCCCCTGGCAGCAGTGAGTGGCCTCCCTTTGACAGGCCTTTCCTGTGAGAGCGAAACGTGGAAACTGATGCCCGAGGCTGAGGCGCAGGAGTCGTGGCTTGTGACTTGGGGCTTGGGAATCGCGCTCCCGCGAGGATTGCTCTGGATTTCCGTTCTCGGAAATCTTAACCGAGTCACAACGTTTCTATCACAAGCCAAAGAAAGACTGGACTACGTGGAGGAGCATCAGAACTTGTCCACCAACTCAGAGACCCTGGGCATTGAGGTGTTCCGCATCCCTCAGGTGGGGCTCTTTGTGGCCACAGCCAATCGCAAAGCCACATCCGCCGTCTACAAGTGGACCGAAGAGAAGTTCGTCTCATATCAGAACATCCCCACGCACCAAGCACAGGCCTGGAGGCATTTCACCATCGGGAAAAAGGCAAGTCTGTGTTCGGTGACTTTCTCCATCCCCTTTCTCTTGGAAAGCCCCGAGTCCACAGGCGGGGCCCCCTACACTGATTCTGCAGGTAAAGGAGTTTCTCACGGTGTCACCTCGTTCAGGCGGTAAAAGGCTGACAGAGTCGCACACGTGAGCCCACCACCCTAAATCCAGGATGTGACTTTGAGGCAGTCTGCTTGGCTCCCGCAAAACGGACGACCAGACCATTTCCCACATGCCATCTCGTTCTACATAGACCCCTCGTCACTACATTTAAAACCTGTTGAGAGTGTTTACATGAGCTGGTCAAGAACCCACAAATCGTTTCAGAAAGACACTAGAAAATGGACATTCCTGATCCTTCCTTTCCTCAAATGTTGAGGACACGTGATGTCCACATGCAAGGCTGAGGCCAGGCTCAGGGGAGCCATGGGTGGGACCTCGCAGGCTGACAGCCACCTTCCTGTCAGGGCTGCTCTGGGCAGAGGGTCGAGGTGGTGGGTCTGGGAGATGGTTGACATCCCAATGGGAAGGATGGGGTTTCCTCTTCCCAGCTCCGTCCACTCCCTGGACTCTACACAGCCATGTCCTAGAGACAGCACCTCCTGACTGCCCCCAAATAGTCACTCACTGGCCTACAATGTGCCAAGGAGGCCCACCAGGCCCTGCCTGGACACAGGGCTAAAGCAGTGAACACAGCAGATGGAAACTGCTCTCCTGTGGCTTACAGCCACCCTCATGCAGGCTGCATTTGCATCCAGCATGGCGGGTGAATAACTAGTTGGTTTTTTTTTTTTTGATTGATGACATCATAAGGTTTTAATTTTTTGTTATAAAAAAAACTTTGCATCAAAGAACAATTGGAAAATTCAGAAAAGCAAAGGGGACAATATTTTGTTCCATCATCCAAGCAAGTACGTAGGTTCATGTGGCGTCCTTGCCTCCAAGCACATCGTCCATGAACCATGCACCTTGCCCCTCATTCTGTATGTTCACACAGCTACACTATGAGCCCTGGGCACATTGCGCCATGTTCATGTTTTACACACATTGCCCTGACACAGCTTTGCGTGGTGATCACACCCATAACACAGGAGAGCAGGTTGTGATGCGTTTTTCTGGTCATCTGGGTTATGAAGAACATTTTTGTGCATAAAGCTTTTCCTGAATTTGGGAATTTTGGCTTTTGTGTTTTTGCCTTCAGATAGCAATAGAAGTGGAAATATTGGGTAAAGAATATGGACATTTTCAAGGGTCTTGATGAATGTAATGACCGGCTCTGCGCCCACCCCACCATGATGACCTGTAATGCGGGGGCCTCGGTCCTCTGTCCCTGCACCACGTAGCAGCCGTGGATCTGGAGAGAGATGCTGATGTTCAGAAGCCTTCAGAAACCAGGCCGCTGGCACCGACCCAAGCAGAACCACGTGGTCCCGGTTTACTCTCTTTCAGATCTTCCTGGCAGTGGCTAATTTTGAACCAGATGAGAAGGGTCAGGAGTTCTCTGTCATTTACAAATGGAGCCACAGAAAGCTGAAGTTTACCCCATATCAGAGCATTGCCACACACAGCGCCCGAGACTGGGAGGCCTTCGAGGTGGATGGGGAGCACTTCCTGGCGGTGGCCAACCACCGGGAAGGTAGGGCAGGAGTGGCCTTCACACCGGGAGGCAACCATTCCAGGGGCAGAGCGAGACTTGCAGGCAGGGCGAATGTGTATCTTATTAGAAAACAATAAGCCACATGCAGCACAGGGTGAACATGCGTTCTGGACCGTTCCTCACTGTCTGGGGGAGGGACATCTACTGGTGGTCCCTGGGGCACCTGCCCACAGCACAGCCACCCCAGAAACATGGACTGCCAGACTGACTCCCAGCACAGAATACCTGCCAGCCTCCCTCCTTGTCTGAAACTGACTGACTGACTAGCTGATTAACTACCTAACTCACTGACTACCCGACTGACTACCTAATTACCTGATGACTGACTGCCTGATGACTGATTGACTAAATTACCTGACTTCTTGACTAACTACTTGACTAATTACATGACTAACTACCTGACTGACTGATTGACGACCTGAATGACCAACTACATCACAGACTGACTGACTACTTCACTGACTGACTGACTGACTAACTACCTGACTGTCTGACTGACTACCTGACTGATACCTGATTGGCTGACTGACAACCTGAATGACTAGCTGACTGGCTAACTGACTGACTATCTGACTAACTACCTGACTGACTGACCACCTGAATGACTAACTATCTGACTGGCTGGCTGGCTGACTGCCTCACTGACTGACTGACTGACTGACTGCCTCAAAGAGTGACTGACTGACTGACTGACTACCTGAATGACTAACTACCTGACTATCTGACTGACTGACTGATTACCTGACTAACTACCTGACTGGCTGACTGGCTATTGGCTGACTGACTACCTCACTGACTGATTGACTAACTACCTGACTGTCTATCTGAATGACTACCTGACTCTCTGACTGACTACTAATTACCTGACTGACTACCTTACTGACTGATTGACTGACTGTCTCACTGACTGATTACCTAACTACCTGATTAACTGACTAGCTGACTGACTAATTACCTAACTGACTAACTGATGACTAACTACCTAACTGACTGATGACTGACTACCTGACTGACTGATTACATGACTAACTGGCTAACTACCTGACTAACTGATTGACTGACTACCTGACTACATCACTGACTGGTTACCTTACTGACTACTTGTCTGACTGACTGACTGCCTGACTGACTACCTGACTAACTACCTGACTGACTGACTACCTAACTACCTGACTGGCTGACTAACTAACTGACTCATTGATTGACTGCCTGACTGACTACCTAATTACCTGACTCTCCCACTAACTGACTGATTACCTGACTAGCTACCTGACTGGCTAACTCATTAACTGACTTACTATCTGACTGACTAACTACCTGACTGTCTGACTGACTGAATGATTAGTTGACTAACTACCTGACTGGCTGGCTGGCTGGCTGACTGATGGACTACCTCACTGACTGACTGACTGACTGATGGAGTGACTACCTGCCTAACTACCTGACTGTCTGACTGACTGATTACCTAACTACTTGACTAGCTGACTGACTACCTCACTGACTGACTGACTATCTGACTGACTACCTGACTACCTCACTTATTGACTGATTGCCTAACTACCTGACTGACTGATGACTGAGTGACTACCTGACAACTGACTAACTACCTGACTGATGACTAACTACCTGACTGACTACCTGACTGATGACTGGCTACCTGACTAACTACTGAACTGACTGACTGACTACCTCACTGGCTAATTGACTGACTGACTGACAAACTACCTGACTGATTAATAACCTGACTCATGACTGACCAACTACCTGACTAGCCACTGAACTGACTGGCTGACTACCTAATTACCTGACTAACTGACTGACTGACTGACTGACTGACTACCTCACTGACTAACTGATTAACTACCTCACTGACTGGCTGACTGATTAACTACCTGGCTGACTACCTGACTGACTGACTGATGACTAACTACCTGCCTATCTGACTGGCTGATGACTACCTGACAACTGACTACCTCACTCACTGATGACTGACTACCTGACTGATTAACTACCTGACTGATGACTGACTACCTAACTACTGAACTGACTGACTGACGACCTAACTGACTGACTTACTGACTGACCATCTCAATGACTTAACTACCTCAGACTGACTGACGACTGACTGCCTACCTGACCGACTACCAAACTAACTGCCTGACTGACTGATTACCTTATTAACTACCTAACTGACTACCTGACTAACTACCTGACTACCTGACTTATTAACTACCTAACTGACTGACCAACTGACTACCTTACTGACTGACTGACACAACTGACCGACCACTTCACTGAGTGACTACCTACCTGACTGACTGACAAACTGACTGACTGACTGAATACCTCACTGACTAATTGGCTGGCTGGCTAACTGACTGACTGACCAACTACCTGACTGACAAATTAACTGACTGGCTGACTGACTACTTCACTGACTAATTGGCTGGCTGGCTGGCTGACTGACTGACCAACTACCTGACTGACAAATTAACTGACTGGCTGACTGACTACTTCACTGACTAATTGGCTGGCTGGCTGGCTGACTGACTGACTAACTGACTAACTACCTGGCTGACTGACAAACTACCTGACTGACTACTTGACTAACTGTTTCAGTGACTAACTGATGACTGACTATCTGACTGACTGACAACTGACTGACTGACTACCTCAATGACTGACTGACAGACTAAGCAGCCTCCCAGCAGGAAAGGTCTGACCAGCACAGGGAGGGCAGATGTTGGGTGGTGGGCCCAGGCCCATGGCAGGGATGCTGGCCTGGTGCCTGGCATGGCCAGGTGTGTGGTGGAGGACAGCTGCCGAGGACATGGGATCTGGATGGCCTCCATGGCCTTGTTTCCTGAGGACAGGCAGCTGTCCCGCCTTGTGCCAGCAGAGACAGTGAGGAGCACTGGCCTGGAAGGTACCGGGACACCTGCTTTCCAGGCCAGGACACTGCCCTGAGCGGCCACCATGAGTACCTGCCATTGTGTAGCTCCACGAGCCGGCCTGGGTCTGGGGGCATCTCTCCGCCTGCAGGACCTCCCAGACCCAACCCTGCCCAGGCTCCACAGCTCTGCACTCCCCTGAGCCCACGACCCACCCAATGGGGGAGCTCCACAGTTGAGAGGGAGGGGCCTCCGGGCAGAGGTGGCAGTGCGTGGGAAGGCCTGGCCTGTGGGGATGCTGGAGAGCCGTGGGCAGCGGGGCCAGGACACGGTGGGCCCCACCTCCAGGACACGGGGAGGCCATGGAGATGTACACCTGTCCCAAGGGCGGTGGGGGCCACCAAGCATTTCCATATGGGAATAGCACCTGTGATGGCCCAGAGGTGCAGTCAGCAAGGGGCTGAGGGCGGGAGGCTCAAGGTAAGAAAGGATGTCCCCAGCGGTTGGCCTTGTCCTCGTGGGTCTTCGGTCCTCGGGGAGGGACTTGGACTGGGCTCTGCCTCCGTCGGGGCTGCCATGGGGCTGTGGAATCTGCCTCCCTGCCCCCAGCACAGTCCCTTGGTTCCAGGCGACAACCACAACATCGACAGTGTCATCTACAAGTGGAACCCGGCAACCCGGCTCTTCGAGGCCAACCAGACCATCGCCACCTCCGGCGCCTACGACTGGGAGTTCTTCAGTGTGGGGCCCTACTCGTTCCTGGTGGTGGCCAACACCTTCAACGGCACCTCCACCAAGGTGCACTCGCACCTCTACATCCGACTCCTGGGCTCCTTCCAGCTCTTCCAGTCCTTCCCGGTAAGGCCCCCCGCATGAGCCCCGGCTCTCCATTGCTGGCCACTGCGTCTGTCACCTGCACCTGCTGGACAGGTGATGTGGGCTGGGGGTCCACCGAGAGCCAAACCTAGTGCTGCTCTGCACCCGTGACCCCAAAACCCAGGCAGGGCCTGCTCCTCTGGACGGCACAGGATCCTTGCCTGGCGTCTGAGCCCTTCTTGCCTGAGAGCCTCTGTGCGCCCAGGGACAGTCCAGGTGCCTGGAAATAAGGCAGGAGGCGCACCCTGGCTCTGCCCCACCCTGGCATGGTGTTCTCCATAAAGCAGCCCCCGGGCTCAGAACAGGCCCTCCCTCCCCTTGGAAGCTCCCGCGGTCTAATCTGAGTCTGTATGGTCGTCAGGGCCCTGGCCCTGGGGCAGCTGGGCAGCTTGGCTCTGACCCAGGGCAGCGTGGGGGCCGGGTCGGGGCAGCACGTGGCGCTCCTCTCCAGGCCTCAAGTGTCCCTTGGCTGGTTCCAGCCACCACGAGACCTTTGAGTTGAGGCAGCAACAGGTGCTTATTAGGCCACCTCCAGGGGCAGGGACAGCGTGCTGCCTGCTCCCAGCAAGTGTGCTGAGGACTGTGACCGGAGCAGAGGTGCGGAGTACGAGACAGGTGGGGGCGCATCTCCCACCTCGGGCTCAGCCTCTATGTGAGCCCAGTTCCCCGGAGGAGGCAGCTCAGGGGCTCTGCAGCGCCGGTGACAGCACTCCCACTGTTTGCTGGAAGCGTGCCTCTCATAAGACATCACCTCCCTGGTGTCCTTCTGGAATCTTCTGTGCCCCCTGACCTGGCGACTCATTCCCCTGCAGAAATGTTCTCAGGGCCTTCTGCACCCGAGGCAGTGAGACTAACCCAGGCCACTCTTGCCACGTGAGCTGCCCCCATGCCACGTCCCAGTGAGGCTGGTACAGGGGCAGAACCATGGCAGACGCTGATGCCCGGACCCCCCGCCCCCATCAGGGAGTCTGGAAAAACAGTGACAACAGTCAGGCCTTGCCAGGCTACCCCTGCATTAGACAAGAAGCTGTGCATGTGGTGGGTGGGGCTTTATGGCTGAAATGATTGAAGGCATTCTGGAACATTCCATACATAACATTCCATACATACATCTCATTAGAGCAAGCCTGCAGGTAGCACATGGGAATGAGCTTCAAAACAGAAGGGAGGAAGATGGAGTTCAGCAGTCGCAGGTTCCTGGAGCCCCTCCACCCAGCAGGAGTAAGAGCAGCTTAGGAAACCGGGAGTGTGACCACCTTGAGAAGCCCGCAGGGGCCGGACCAGGAGCCGCGGCTCACAGGGACCAATCACACGCCTTAATGCGTGCAGAGAATTGCTCCGGGACTCCCACGTGCTCAGCCCTCTGGCAGGCTGGGGCACAGCGTCATCCAGGTGACCACCGCCCCACCCTTCGGGCACTCATGGTCCAGTGGGGAAGGGCAGCTTTACGTGGATGTTCAGGGCACGAGGAGAGCAGATGTCAGGGAGCACCCTCCCCACTTTCCCAGCCCTCACCAGGAGGAAGTGAGGGCTGGGAAAGTTGGGAGGGTACCTGCAGGGCAGTGGGGCTGGGAGTAGGCAGCAGGGTCACCACCCAGAGCCACAGGCTGCAAGTGAAACGTGAAGCCTGCCCTTGTGGGGTTGACAGGGCTGCACGATAATGACTGGTCGGTGGCTGGGAGGGAGTGAGCCATTGGGAGGCTGCTGTGGCCGCCCAGATGAGCCGCAGGCGCCCAGGTGAGGAGGCAGCAGTGCCAGAAGGAACACACCTTGAGCTCGCTAGTGCTGTGGATGGAACAGGTGAGCGTGCCTGGGAGCCAGGAAGAGGCGGGATGAGCCTCCTGCCACGGGGGCAGAGTGAGGCTCAGTGCACTGGGATTGGGGGTGAGCAAGATTCCTTCCAGCCATTGGCCTTGGTAACAGCCTCAGGAGGTAGGTGGTGGTAGCGGCTCACACTGGCTGAGCCTCGACTCTGTAGAGCACCTGTGCCAAGAGCTCTGCCCGCATCCGCCCACATCACCCTCACAGCACCTTGAGAGGGGCTTGCTGCCACTGGTCCCTGTTATCCACAAGGACACAGAGGCTCAGAACGGTGGAGGGCTTTGCCCGTGGCAGAACTGGGATCAAGCCAAGCAATGCGGCCTGTCACTTGGTTTGATGTGGCACGGGACAGAGCTGAGCATAAGTTCCTTGTCTTACTGGTCCCTGCACAGTCCTCTCACCACAACACGCATGCTGCTAAGACTCTGGGAAACTACAAGGGTGTCCTGGGCTGGTGGCCACGTGCTGGTGTGCGGACAGCGGACCTGAAGGAGGGTTCAGGAGCCTTCGGTCATGGGTTAGCCTGACCACAGGGCTCAGCAGGAATGGCCCCTCTGACCAGTAATCATTGACCTGGAGTTGGACTTGAGGCTGGTGAGGTTGAGATGCGAAAGCAGCTGCAAGCTGGGGCCAAGAGCGTGATATGGGCTGGAAATTGGGACTCCCAAGGAGGGCTCGATACGCGGGGACAGTGGCTCAAAAGGCAAATGGTGGGCTGGGCGCAGTGGCTCAAGCCTGTAATCCCAACCCTTTGGGAAGCCAAGGCAGGCGGATCACAAGGTCAGGAGATCAAGACCATCCTGGTGAACACGGTGAAACCCTGTCTCTACTAAAAATACAAAAAAAAATTAGCCTGGCATGGTGGCGGGTACCTGTAATCCCAGCTACTCGGGAGGCTGAGGCAGGAGAATGGCGTGAACCCGGGAGGCGGAGCTTGCAGTGAGCCGAGATCACGCCACTGCACTCCAGCCTGGGCGACAGAGTGAGACTCCATCTCAAAAACAAAAAAAAAACAACAAAAGCAAATGGTGACATCGAGCAGCAACGAAAGGGTGGCTTGGGGACTTGGGCACAGCTGCAGAGCACAGCAATCCGGCCGACAGCAGTTCCCGTGGAAACACCCGGGGCTCCACACCAGTCATGTGTCATCAGGATCATACTGGTGCCCTGACATGAACGTGCGCCCTGCTGGCCCCAGGCTCACACATGCAGAGCCCCAGCACACTGGAGCATGTTTGAGGAGCTTTGCCAGAACCAGGAAGGGATTTGAAACGTTATCACACAAGGAATAGTTGCAGGACTTGAGGCTTTATCCTGAAAGAAGACGTAGGCAGTCACTTCCAATCATCTAACGAATGAGCTGGTGGGGGGCAGGGGGCGGGCCTCCAGGGGGTCTTGAGAGCAGAGTCGCGCACCCTGGATGGAAAGGCACCACAAGTGACTTTCTCGTCAACTAGGCAAGGTCTCCTAACAGCTGTTGTGCCACGGAGAGGCTGCTGTCCTGGAGGTCCTGCATTCTAAATCACAAAGTGAGGTGACAAGAGAAAGGATCCCTGCAGTGGGTTGGGGAGTGCGTTTTGGAGATTATCATCCTAGATCTACCAACACCGTGATCCTAAAGCCCCTGTGATAACACCAAGTCCAATTTACAGTGTCTTCTTCACGACACTGCACCAAGGTGCTCAAGATGCCCCAGTGCCCCAGAGCGTACCTGGCCAGCTGCGTGTCACCCATGCCATCCTCTCCAGCTAAGGGTCCCCGGATGTTTGACAAAAATCCTGAAAACTGCAGGAGTCAGGCTAAAGAAAAAGGCTGAAAGAAACTGAGCTAGCTCTAGAAACAGAAAGGAATTTTTTTAAGTTATACTTGTCTTCAGAAGTATTCAAGATGATACTGCACTTACGAAATAAAAAATGCTACTAATGAGACAGAGAGCTTGGACATTAAAAATGCAATTGCTGGCATTAAAAGAAGACATTCATTAACATGACTGAAATATAAAGTTAAGAGTATCTTCTAGAATGTAGAATGAAAAGAGACAGAATCAAACCAGGAGAGTCTGTATCTGGCTAACCAAAGTTCTAGAAAAAAAAGAAGAGGGTGAGGACAGTGATGGAATTGTCAGAGAAGGCTTGAAGAAAACCGCCCAGATCTCATCAGACTGAAAGGGCGCTGAGCCCAAGGAGCGCGAGAGCAAAGGAAAGTTACCTTCAAAGCACACAGGAGCCGCGGCAGCCTGGGATTTCCCATCGGCAGCCCTGGATATCAGGAGGTAGGAGGGCTCAGTGTTCTGAAGGCGAGTGATGTCCACAGAGCCCCCGCAGGACAAGGACGCTGGCCACTGCCATGCACGGCTCCCACATGTCAGTGGCTTCCTGCCATATTGGGTTAGTTCTCATATCAAGTCAGACAAGGAGCACACACGGTGGGAAGCAGCAGGAAGGGGCTGACCTGACCTGTGCTCACAGCCCATGGGCCAGTGCCAGTCACATGTCCCAGCCTAGCTGGACCTGTACTCACGTGTCCTCACAGCTCATTGGCTAATGCTTGTCATATGACCCAGCCTAGCTGGACCTGTGCTCACGTCCTCACAGCTCATTGGCTAGTGCCAGTCACATGACCCAGCTTGTCCCTGTGTCACGTGTACTCACAGCTCATTGGCTAGTGCTGGTCATATGACCCAGTCTCCTGTCAGTCTGAGACCTGTGGGAGCCCTGGACTAGGCGGTGTTCCTGGGGGGTGCACTGGCAAGCCCAGGTACTCAACCAGAATGAGAAGATCAGAACTGGAAGTGGTGGCTCCACCCAAAGATGACCATAAGGAAAGTTCTGGAATGAGAACTGGTATGTGTCCTAGAGAGAAGCCAGCCCAGATGGTCTGGGGTCAGGGAGGGCATAAGAGGGGGTTTGGGGGCTGTGGAGTCCACGGAGCACAAAGTGTGTCCAGGGATGGCGTGCTGAAGGAGTGACAGAAGCACAGACTGCAGGAGTCGAGGAAGGCAGAGACACAGGGGCCAGGCCAGGACGGCCTTCCTGTGCAGCAGCCGCTGAGGTGGGACAGGACCGAAAGCCCCAGGGTGCAGGAGCGAGGGGCTCCTGCGATGGGAAGATGGGAGAGCTGGGAGCGTTCTCGCATGCAGAGCTGGTGTGTTTTCTTCCTCTGGGAAGGAAGGAGGGGAGGGCCATACCCAGGAGGGGACAACTAGAAACTTGTTGAAAAGCAGCGTACATAGATCACAGGTCCAAGGACGAAGCAGGTGAACCCGTCCTGTGATTTTAAGCATGAAAGGAGAATGTTTGCCTGGCATGGGGGACTGCCCCAGGGATGGCACAGTTGGTCATCCCGACATAGAAATCGCCTGGGTGGGTGGTGCCATAGCCCGGCCCCTGGCTCTGGGGGCTGACATTACCGTAAGGTCAGGACCACACGAAGCTGATCCTGATGTGTCACTCAGAGAATCGCCCCGTGGCCGAACCCACCCTGGGCGCGGGTGTTGGTGTTTATTAGTGGAGGTACAACCCAGGCTGCTTGGGGGAGGGGAGAAGGAGAGCAGAGGCCCTGCATCTCCATCCCACACCCTACACCGTGGGTGAAGAGGCGAGGCCAGAAGCCGCCCACCAGGAATCAGAGGAGCTCCCAGCAGCACCCACTGAGGAGGACAGTTGCCACAGACCCTAAGCAGGAGCAGCTCTGCCTTCAGGTGCCCAGACCAGGTGCAGGCAGGCAGCCTGGCGCTCCCAGATAAACAAGGCCTGGCAGCCCTGGCCACTGCCCTGCATGTGGAGCACAGCTCCCTTCACTCCTGACAGCCTCATTCTGAAAGCCCTGGAATTCCTGCTGATGGCAGCCTTCCTTGTTTTCCTGTTTTGGAAAGCCTTTTGGAGATTTCTGGAAGGTGGTCTGTGGCTGCGCATCCTCAGCTGGTTGGCGATTCCACCTCAGACCCATCTCACAGGTGTGGAAACTGAGGCTCAGGAGCAGGGACCTGGCCACAAACACACGGCGGTAAGCGGCCGAGCCAGGGCGTCCACAGGTGTCCCTGTGTCCACATGAATCGCCTCCTCTGTGCCTGCCCCATGGGGATGGAGCCTGCAGCCTGGTTTGGGCCGTGACGGGAGTGCCTGGGACGCCTCACACCATGGTGGGGTCTCAGCCCTTCACTCATGGGGCCCATCCCTTTGATGGACTACCTGCTCTTCATGAAATGACGTCGGGACTGGATTCTGAGCTTCGTTGATCTTTGTGTGTTCTGGAAGGCAGTCGGGAGGTGTTCGTGGAACGTGGTTACCGAAAAACACGGGGCTTCTGTCACGGGTGATGTGGTGGAGGTGGCAGCCCAGCCCAGAAGGCGGCCACTCTACATTTTCAGGCCGCGTGTGAAGGCCAGCTTTGATCTACACCAAGGACTGGAGCAGTGGTCCTGGAGATGCACGGGCATCCTCAGAAGGGGGCCAGCAGCAAAGGGGCAGAAATGGAACCACCGGAACCAAGGGGAGGGTCTGGGCTAGCGACCCATGGCGAAGTCCCAAGGGGTGGGTGACATCCGCCTGAAAGAAACATCAGAGAAGAGCAGGGGCTAGAGCAGGACCACAGCAGACAGAAGGAAGCACGGCTGCAGCTCCCAAAGCAGAACCAGAACTCCGGGAACGGGGACCTGGCTGCTGGGGGCGCCATCATGGCCCAGGCCCTGAAGGTGCCTTAGGAGGGCCCTGGGAAGGCGCTGGGACCACGCACACATGGACGGGCTTCCTCTCCACCTGGCCTGAGCCTCATCTTTCAAAACTCAGTAATTCCTCAAAACTCACAAAGCCCACTTTCATGTTTTGCCAACATTTCTCACATTGTGTTGAAATCCTTTTAGGTCCTAGAGATGTCTTAATTTGTTTACTGTTTGGTTTGAGTTTTGCAATGTCTTTCATGAACGTGAGCTTTGAAGCGGGTGAAGCCGAGATGCTTTGAAAGTGGGTGTGTGCCATAGAGAGGCGCCCTTTCTGGAGGGGTCTGCGGGGGTGTGGGGTGCAGGTGGGGTTTGAGGAGCTGTGCACACAGACCTCACTTTCTCCCAGAAACACAGGGTGGGCGCATTCCCAGGGCACTGCAGGTTAAGTACAGTGCTCCAAGGGAATGGTCGGTGGGCATGGCAGGACTTTGCAGCCCCAGGGCAGATATGAGTGAGGAGCTGGCTGCCCACCCTGGGGAAGGTGGTTTGATGTCCCATTCTTCCGCCTGCCCTCAAAGTCTTTCTGCCCATCCCACCAGGAATTCTAGAACAACTTTCTTCCAGGTTGGAGACACCAGGCCTCCAATGACTGGGCCTCCCCAGCTTGGACCAAAGGAGGAGTGAGCTCTGTCCCTAGAAGTCTAGGCACAGGGTCCTGCTCCCTGAGCTGACGAGGAGTAGGCCGTGCAGTCGCGGTCACCAAATGTGGACTCCAAAATAGGTTTGGCTTCTAAGTGAGTTTGCTGCAGACCTCAGAAGGTGTTGCAGCTTCCAAAGCTTGGTGCTTCTGTGATTGCAGCTGTCGGCATGTGGGGTCCTCACAAGGCCAGCAGCAGCCACCATGTTAGTAAGGACCCCTCGTCACAGCTGGGCCCCCGACTTGGTGCCACACACTTCCCAAGGGTCCCGCCCATGGCTCAACACACATGTACATGCACACTCATGCACACGTGTGTGTACTCGCTTCCATGGCCATGGAAGGGCAAGAGGTGCTGTAGGCAAGGATACAGTGGGGGCCACTCTGGGGACAGGTGCCCGGCAGGCAGCCATGTGGTGCTTAGAAAAACAGGCAGGAGCCCCTAAGCACCCTCATGAGGCCTGGCTGTGTCTGAGTCTCCATCTGCACATCTGTCAAGGGGGTGGCATGAGGGGTCAGCACTGCCCAGGACAGCCTGAAGGGGCTGGGCAGAGCCTGGGCGGGAGGGCTCCAGGAAGGTGGCAGCTATGCCCCATGACTTCTGTCTTCTCTGACACAGGAGCTGGCAGTGGCCTAGGCAGCTTGGGGAAGGTGCCAGGCTTGCGGGTTCTGCAGGGCCGGGAAGAGCACGGGGGGCACCCAAGAGTTGGCTGGGGAGTGTGCTGAGCCCAGTTCTCTCAAGGGAGTCACCTGTCATCCAGTAGCGCTGCCCCCATGGCCACCCGGGATGCTTGTCCAGCCTGAGCTGGCTACCCTCAGAGAGGATGCCACTGCCCCCCCAACCAGGGCTTGTTGGGGAACTGCCTTCTGGTGGCTAGGGAGGGAGCCCCAGGGGTGCATCCTGCCTCCCTCCCCTCCCCTGGCATTCCCAGACCACAGAGGCATCCTCTTTCTTTGCCCTATCAAAGCCGGAACCCAAGGGCCTCTTTGCCCAGCAACTAATCCACTGATTACCGGGTGCCCACCCGCCCTCGAGGGAGCTGTTGGGGGCTCCAGGTGCTCCTGGCTGCCAAGTCCCGGAAGCACCATCATCCCAGCAAGATGCTCCTGAGCTGCCAGGCACCGTGCCAGGGCAGCAGGGCCAGGCTCTGGGGAATTCCATTGGAGGGAGGGCGGGAAGGGCCTGCCCAGCCCAGCAGGTGCCTGGTCGCTTGGCTCCCGTGCCAGCCAGGGTTTGGCAGGGCCTTTGATGTGAAGATTCTTTCTCTCTCCTCTATGAGTCCCTAATGTGCTTAAAATCTGGGAGTGGCCTGACAGGGGGGTCCCACACTGCACACCCTCTGCCTGGGTTGGCACAGCCCCTGGGGGGCACCTCCTCACTTCTGAATGTGAGAAGGCCCCGGCTTCAGCAGAGGGACAGGTTCACTCCAACCTGCAAGGGGCTTCTGACAGCCTGGCATAGGGAGGAGGGGCTGTCAATAGCCAATGACAATGACCGCCCTACCGTGGACTCGGCCAGCTAAATGCTGGGACCAGGAGCCGGTGACACCCCGTGGGGGTTCTGCCAGCCTCCAGCCAGTTGCAGATAAACTAATTTTTCTTTTTGCCAAAGTATGTTTCAAGTATTACATGGGATACACACAGACTAAAGAATCATTCGTTGTCTGAAATTTAGATTGAACAGGGACCCTGGATTTGCTAAATCTGGTGCACAGACCCTCGCTGGGTACAGGGAACAGAAGGGTGACTTGAGCAGCCTCTGAGCCGCCCCCGGCCCCCCAGGCCTGTCTGGCCCTGCACTCCAGCAAGAGCTCTGCTTCGTAGCAGCACCCAGGCAGGTGACCACACAGCATTCACTCCGGCCACTGCCATGCCCTGGACAGACCTCCATGCCCACCCCCACAGCTGACACGTGCTCTTCCTGGAACAAATACACGCCCCACCTTGGGCTCCAACCAAGATGCAACTCAAAGTTTGCTCCCTGCCACCCCATGAAACGTGGGCACAATCCCTGCCCTGGAGGCAGGCTGCAGTGCTACAGGTCCCACCAGACCAGACTGCCCGTCTCGCGCATTCCCAACCCAGGGTCTCCACCAGCCTCAGGGCTGTGGCCAGAGCACCGCCACCTCCACCCTACGCTCCTGCCACCTGCCCCTCCCCAGGGCTCACACAGCAGCCCGTGTGCCACCCATGCCTAGGGAAATACCAGGTTCTCTGAGTGGTCTCCCAAAGCCCCTGTCTCCATCCCTAGGGATGTACCGAGTTCTCTGAGGGGTCTCCAGAAGCCTGTCTCCAAGACCACCACCCTTCTTTCCCATCTTAGGAGTGGCACCCACCCCACCCCACCCCCACAGCACTTGGCTCACCTCTCTCCTGACACCTTCCTAGCTCCTGTGGGTCTCAGAGCCGTCCACATACATCTGACCTCCTCGTTCTGCTCAAAAGCCTCCTCCGGCTCCCCAGTGACCTTTGCCTGGAGGCCCAGCTGCTTTCCACAGCACCCAGGCCCTGTAGGCCCGCCCCAGCCCCTGCTCCGCACTCTGTGTGCGCCCAGCCCTCCTGGCTCCCTCAGTCCTGTGTGTCTGTCCTGCAGTTCCTTCTGCCTGGATACCCTTCCCTGCTTCCTGCTGCCAACTCCCCTGTCCGTCCTCCATGCCTTTGGGCCCTCTTCCTCTGTGCCCCCAAGGCCCCGGGCAGCCCCTCCATGGTCCCCCATCTGCAGCAGCCCGTTCCAGGGCTCCTTTGGGCAGGGAGGGCACCTCACTCATCACTGAGATGTGATGCCCGGCTCAGCCCCAACTTGCAGTAAAGCTCTCTCTACACAGTGCTGAGTGCCAGCTCGGGGTCCCCCATCACCCTGGGCTGCTACAGGGCGGGCACTCCGGGCCTTTCCCTGAGAGGGAGTTTCAGGCTGTTCTGGCCCCGGCAGTCCATCAGGATCTGCCTCAACACAGGTGAGCATCAGCAAGTAGCTAAGAAGCAGGGGCTCCACTGGAAGGACGCCCAGGGCTGGAGGCGTGTGTCCTCAGTCTTTTCCAGCAATGTGGGGAGAGCTGTGCTGTGTGGGTGCATGTGTGTGTGTAGATGTCATGCAGGCGGATGCATGGGTGTGCCTGCAGGGATCTGCCTGTGTACAGGCATGTGTGCAAGTATACACATATGCACATGGACACAGATGCATGGTTGCATGCATACATACGTGTGTGTAGGTATACATGTGTATGTATACATGAGCAGGCCTGTGTATCTGCATGTGTATCCACATGTGTACAGGCATGCATGTGCATCTGTGCATGTAAAAATGTAAGCATATATGTGTGTGTGTACACAGTGCATATGCATGTTTGTGTGTGTATGCATGCATGCAGGCGTGCATGTGTGTGTGCGCACAGTGCACATCCATGTTTGTGTATGTATGCATACATGCAGGTGTGCAGGTATGGGCCTGTGTGTGCAGGTGTGTGCAGGCATGTGTACACACGTGAGGGTTGCCCACTCAGTTGGTTTCCTCAGCACAGGCGTGGGAGGAGCCCAGGGTTGAACAGTCTGATGATTCCTGTTTCTCTTCTGCTGAGTCAGTGAACTGGCCTGTGTGTAACACTCCCCCCCGCCCACCTGTGAGGCAGCCAAAGTCCAGATGCTGCTGAAGGTCCCACCGGCCCAGAGTGTCTCAGAGTCCCCTTGAAGGACGTGGGGTGGCCCTGGACGGCTGTTCTCCAGCAGATAGGAATAGTCACATCTCGTGGAGCTGCAGGAGGGGAGGGCGCGCTGACCCGGGAAAGCCTCAGCCAGCCCCCGGCCCCGCCCCCGCCGAGGGTTCGGCGCCGCCAGGTGTCCTGGGCCCCTGTCCTTGCCTAGTGAGTCTTGCTTTCTTAGCTTAAGCTCACCCATGTGCGCTCCTCTGACCGGCTGCGGATCTGCTTTGGGACCTTGCCTGGTGCCCACGGAGCTGTGTCCTCACCTGTGGCGCCCTCCCCTGCAGCCCAGGCTCTCCGGGCTCGGGCGGGCAACGGCGCCCCCTGCTGGGCGTGGAGAACGCACGTTGACGTTGGGCCCAGAGTTTTCTCTTTCCTGCAGCACCTGAGCCGGCCGGGCAGGCGCCGGACAGTCAGGGGGACCAGAAGATGCCTGGGCAGCCCCGTCCTGAGCATACAAGCAAGGGAGGGTGCCTGACCTGCTGCGGAGGGCAGGTCGCATCAGACCCAGGGGCGTCTGAGCCGGGCCCTTGCTGGTCGATTTGGGCAAATAGAAAACGTCCCAGTGGTTGCTGTCACGGGAGGCTCTCAGAGCTGCTTCTTACCTGGCCCGGTGGTGCAATGTCCCTCAGGCAGAAGGCCCTCCGGACGGGGGTGAGTCAGGAAGAGACACAGCCCCGCAGCATGACCGGCTCCGTCCTCAGCTAGGACAGCCTGGGACCGTGCGCAGGGATCCCCGGCCTGTGGGGACACTGTCCCCAGGGAAGCAGCCTTCCCCTTCCCCGTGCAGCCCCACCACCCTTATCCCCAAGGTGCTGGCAGAAGCTTCCGCCTTGTGGACCCCACATGCAGACAGTCCTGCAGCTCAAGGTTGGTGGCAGAGGTGCCGCAGTTGGGCCTCCGTGTGCAGCCCCAGACCTGTTGCCTCTTGACGGTGGTAAGTGATTTATGGAGGAATGGCAAGCACAGGAACCCAGAGATGGCTTCTGTCTACAGAGCCAGAGGAAAGACTCAGCCAAACTGCAAGGCCAGGGAAAGCGTGTAAGAGAAAACTCGAGAGGTACCTGATGTTGCTTCAGTGTCTGAGGCTGGGACTAGAGGGATCAGGGTGGGCTTCCTGGAAGAGGTGAGACAGCAGGTGGTGCTCGTAGGACGCACAGCACTGGGGCCTGGAGTAGGAGAAGGCATGGATTGCTGAGAAGCAAGTCACACAGATGGTCGCTAGGGGCAGGGCTGGGCACAGCTGGCACTAACATTCAGGGAGAAGTGGCCAAGGAGGCTGCCAGCAGGAGTGCCACGTCTGGCACCTGGAGCACAGCGGGCACTGGGCTGTGCCAAGATCCCACGTCCTGCCAAGTGGCAGCCCTGGGGACAGCCAGGGAGAGTGCTGCTCACTCACACCTCTGCGCCCGCTCTCCCACACCTCTGCGCCCGCTCACCCACACCTCTGCGCCCGCTCACCCACACCTCTGCGCCCCCTCCCCCACACCTCTGCGCCCCCTCCCCCACACCTCTGCGCCCGCTCCCCCACACCTCTGCGCCCGCTCCCCCACACCTCTGCGCCCGCTCCCCCACACCTCTGCACCTGCTCTCCTTTGGTCCTAGACGTTCGGTGCTGCAGACTGGGAGGTCTTCCAGATCGGGGAGAGGATCTTCCTCGCTGTGGCAAACAGTCACAGCTACGATGTGGAGATGCAAGTCCAGAATGATTCCTATGTCATCAACTCCGTCATCTACGAGCTGAACGTGACCGCGCAGGCCTTTGTCAAGTTCCAGGACATTCTCACCTGCAGGTATGCGCCTCCACAGGCCAGTGGGAGGTGGGCTGATCTCTGGGAGGCCCACCATGTCGGAATCCCCGTTAGGCTCATCCTCACCACCCTTCCCGTGGAAAGACTGGCCTGGGGACCTTCCTGTGGAAAGAATGGCCTGGGGACCTTCCTGTGGAAAGAATGGCCTGGGGACTTTCCTGGCCTGGGGAAGTCAGTGCCGCCCTGAGACACAGGTTTGGTTCCCAGAGCCGGGTGCTGTGTGCGGAGTTCTGCCCCTTCACACCCATTACCTCCTTTCATCCGAGCAGTGGAGGCAGGAGGGGGCTTCATGCCCGTCGTGCGGAGGGATAGCCGAGGCCCCAGAGGGACAGGTGCGAGGTGCAGGCTTCGAGTGCCCGCTGCCTGCCAGTGCCAGCTGCCACCAGACATGATTACTTCCTTCCCCCGATGTTGCATCCTCCCCGACAACAAACACCAGGACACGGAGACTGGCCTGTTGAGACAGATGTGAGATCCAGGGAACATGGAGGGTGGGTCTGTATGTACGAGAAAGTGATGGTTCCAGACCGACACGCTCCGTGGAGCCACAGGAGGTTGCGTGGGCACCACATTTTGGACAGTGGGCACTGAGAATCCACAACCATCCTGACCAGTGTGGGGCGTCCTCTGGGGTGGAATTCCGGTCTGTGAATAAACCTGCAATCGAATCCGTATTACCCAGATCCCAGAGCCAGGGGCCATGGGTCAAGCTTGGAGCTGGAATCTGGCCCATTCCCATCCTGGGATGGAGCAGGCGGCTTTCCCAGGTTTCCTCGGGTTTCATGCACTCCTATTTCATTCGGTAACAATTCACCTGCCCCTCCTGGGCACTGGGCTCTAATCTCAGCTTGAGACACACAACAACACATACCTTTAGACCCTTCGAGGGGAAGAGTCTCCAAGATGAACTGCTCTGTGGAAAGGGCTGGGTGAGGTGCAGTGAAATCTTGTGTCCCCAGTGCGGAGGAGCGAGCCGGGCTGCTGTGTGCCGCTCAGCTGTGCGTGCCCACGGACGTGCAGAGAAGACTCGGGAAGGGAGTGCCCTCTCCGTCAGCAGTCACCCTAGGACCGGGAGGGCTGCAGGGGTATGTAGACAGGCCAGGAAGGACTTTCCCTATTTGCCCTGTTACTTCTGAACTCCTGGCTTTACAAAGGATGACAATGTTAACTTACTAATATCTTACTTATATGATTTTTAAAAATTAAAAAAAGAACACTCATAATAAAGAAAAAGAGCCAGCGGCGGTGTCTGCTGGGGGCACTGGGGATTCCGGGGTGACCTGCCTGTGGGCTCCGTGGCCCCTGCGTGGCCTGGCAGCCATGGCAGGAGAAACAGGCACGGGGCGGCGGTGGCAGTTGTGTGTCCCCAGCACGAATCCACGCCATCCAATGTCAACGCCGAGAACAAAACAAACATTAGGCTTTTTAGAACAACATTTAGAATAAGACAAGTTGGAGAATGAATTGTGATTAAAAATTAGTCATGGACATGATGCCCAGTCTAGAAACAGATGAGGCAGACGCCTCGGGATTTGAAAGCTGCGGGAACTGACAGAACACAGCTACACACTCGCGACTTATGGCCCTGTCACCACTGGACAGTGGTATGGACAGTTTATGAACTAAATTATGAAACACAGAAAGTACTTACCAATTAATTAAGGTAATGTTTAATAATTACCATCAAAACAGCACACACAAGTCAAACTCCTAGCCCTTCTACCCAGCATGGGGAATTCCCTACACTTCCCGGAGACGTGATGTGGCCTCACCAAGTCCAAAACCCTATTCAAGGGCGCTGAGGGGTTTTGTGGCTTCTGTGTGTAACCTTGGCTCTGACTGCCTTCAAATGGTCGCTTGTGTTTGCTTTTTAGATTCAGTAGTTCTATTAAATCCACAGATATGTGCAGCCATGGCTGCAGACAACTCTGGAACATTCTCATCCCCTCACAAGGAGCCCCCCACACCCTTTTCCAGCCCCTCCCTCCCAACTGGGCACCCCCGGGCCCACTTCCTGTCTCTGTGATTTCCCGTTCTGGACACTGCACAGAAATGGACTCGTAGAGCCGTGGCCTCTGTACCTGGCTTTTTCTCGCAGCACCGTGTCCTCCGGGTTGGTGGTGTGGCCGCGCGGCTCAGAGCATCCCCCTTCTCATGGCTGAGTCACACTTCATCCGTCCATTTGTCCGATGATGGGCATTTGCCAGAGGGCGTGATTCTGAAGAATAACATCTGTCCTACAGCGAGTGTGACCCAGGGCTGCTTTGGAGGCAGAATCGGGCACTAGATGCCTTATTTTGTGGTGAAACCGAAGCCGGCTTCTGATGTGAGCCTCGGTGCAGCCGGACAGGATCTTCCACCACTGGTACATCCGACGTGGCCGCTTGTCTTCCTCGGGTCTGGGTTTCAGAGCTCAGATCCGACTGAGGAGTAACCCCGCGGATTCACACTGACCCGGGGCCCGCGGCCGTGCCTCCAGACCAGAGCATGTGATCACAGGCGTCCTCGTCCTCCTCCCAGCGAGCTGGCACGGGCTGCATGGGAACCAAATCATAACCCACCATTAATGGAGGTGGCTCCAGATGTCACCCTGACTGACCGAAGGAGTGAGGAGCCCAAGGCCCCATGGGCTCTGCCCGCCCTGCCTGTCACTGGACACCTCTGTGATCCCTCCCTCTCCCAAGGCCCTGTCTGAGCCCCTGCTGCAGGCCGGCCCCACAACTGCCTGCAGGGAAGCACCGGGATGAGGCCCCTCTGCTGCCTGAACTGGCCACAGCCCTGAGGCTGCTGAATACAGAGGCACCCGCCTGGCCTGCATGTCAGCAGGACGCCTGCGTGTGCATGGCTTCGACCTCCATTTCCTCATCTTGAGATGTGGGGCTGACGCTGACAGCTCGGCAGGTGGGCTCCTGGGGAGGAAAGGATCCAGGGGAGCCGCTCCTCAGACCCCTCAAACCGAGCCATCCCCAAGCACAGATGCATCCTTGGTAAATTCAGGTGAGACTCCTAAGACAGGACACAGCAAATTTGTTTGCAACAAGAAACAGCTTCTGCTTCTAGGAGAACATCTGTGAACGAGCAGGTCCTGCAGGTCCTGTAGGCACCTCCTGGAGTGACCTCACGGCCGCTGACCTCACAGCTGAAGACACAATGCTGAGAGAAGAAACCAGGCACAGAGGCCACAGCACTGTGACGCCATTTCTGCACAGTGTCCAGAGCGGGAAACCAAGCTCCTGCCTCCAGCAGGCACCAGCAGCCTGAGACTTTTTCTCTGATTGTTTCAACCTCTTAAAAGTGGACTTTTGTACCCCGGTGTTCATAGCAGCAGCATTCACAGTAGCCACATGGAGGAAATTCCCCAAGTGTCTGTCAGCGGATGGACAAACACAACGTGTCCATTCACACAGCGGAGCGTTACTCGGCCTTAGAAAGGAAGGCGATTCTGACACACAGTGCGACACGGATGAACCTTGAGTCACTGGAGTCTCAGCTAAGGCAGACACAAAGGACAAATACCGTGCGATTCCATTCATATGAGGTCCCTAGAGTGGTCAAATTCATAGAGACAGAAAGTGGCGTGGTGGGTGCCGGGGCTGGGGGGGGGGGGGGGGGGAGGGGGGAGGGGGTGATGTTTACTGGGTGCAGAGCTTCGGTTTTGCAGGATGAAGGCGTTCTGGAGGTGGATGGTGGGGGCGGCCACACAGCAGTATGAATGTGCTTAATGCCCCTGATCTGTGCACCTAAAGATGGTTGAGGTGGGAAATGTTATGTTATATGTATTTTACCATAATTTAAAATTTGAGGCCAGGCATGGTGGCTCATGCCTGTAATCCCAGCACTTTGGGAGGCTGAGGTGGGCAGATCACTTGAGGTCAGGAGTTCAAGACCAGCCTGGACAACATGGTGAAACCCTGTCTGTACTACAAATACAAAAATTAGCCGGGCGTGGTGCCGCACACTTGTAATCCCAGCTACTCGGGAGGCTGAGGCAGGAGAATCGCTTGAATCCGAGAGGCAGAGGTTGCCGTGAGCCGAGATCTCGCCACTGCACTCCAGCCTGGGTGACAGAATGAGACTCCATCTCAAAAATAAAATAAAATAAAATTTGAAATTTTTTTTAAGCAAACAACTAATTTACATTTTCCTGGAATAGACCAACACATATGTGACTGTGAGAAAATCACTCCCCACTTTGGCCCCGGCTCCTCCTCTATAAATTTTGGAGGTAGCTTCTGGCCAATCCCCCAGTTCCCTGGCGATGTCTGTTGTGTCCTAATATCCACCCACTTGTTCCTGCAGTGCTCTGGACTGGGAGTTTTTCTCGGTGGGAGAAGATTATTTCCTGGTGGTGGCCAACTCCTTCGATGGGCGTACCTTCTCGGTGAACAGTATTATTTACAGGTAATGAGCTGCCGAGGCCGGCCTCCTCCCAGAGCCTTGCTTCCCCACTGTGGGCTCACCGAGGCCGGCCTCCTCCAAGAGACTTGCTTCCCCACTGTGGGCTCACCGAGGCCGGCCTCCTCCAAGAGACTTGCTTCCCCACTGTGGGCTCACCGAGGCCGGCCTCCTCCAAGAGACTTGCTTCCCCACTGTGGGCTCACCGAGGCCGGCCTCCTCCAAGAGACTTGCTTCCCCACTGTGGGCTCACCGAGGCCGGCCTCCTCCCAGAGCCTTGCTTCCCCACTGTGGGCTCACCGAGGCCGGCCTCCTCCAAGAGCCTTGCTTCCCCACTGTGGGCTCACTGAGGCCAGCTTCCTCCCAGAGCCTTGCTTCCCCCGAGGGCTCACCGAGGCCAGCTTCCTCCAAGAGACTTGCTTCCCCCGAGGGCTCACCGAGGCCAGCTTCCTCCCAGTGCCTTGCTTCCCCCTAAGGGCTCACCGAGGCCGGCTTCCTCCCAGAGCCCTGCTTCCCCCTGAGGGCTCACCGAGGCCAGCTACCCCCCGAGGGCTCACCGAGGCCGGCTTCCTCCCAGAGTCTTGCTTCCCCACTGTGGGCTCACCAAGGCCGGCCTCCTCCAAGAGACTTGCTTCCCCACTGTGGGCTCACTGAGGCCGGCTTCCTCCCAGAGCCTTGCTTCCCCACTGTGGGCTCACCAAGGCCAGCTTCCCCCCAAGGGCTCACCGAGGCCAACTTCCTCCCAGAGCCTTGCTTCCTGCTGAGGGCTCACCGAGGCCGGCTTCCTCCCAGAGCCTTGCTTCCCCGCCGAGGGCTCACCAACTCCGGCCTCCTCCCAGAGCCTTGCTTCCCGCCGAGGGCTCACCGAGGCCAGCTTCCTCCCAGCACATTGCTTCCCCCCTGTGGGCTCACCAAGGCCGGCTTCCCCCCAAGGGCTCACCAAGGCCGGCCTCCTCCCAGCGCCTTGCTTCCCCCCGAGGGCTCACCGAGGCCAGCTTCCTCCCAGAGCCTTGCTTCCCCCCGAGGGCTCACCAACTCCGGCCTCCTCCCAGAGCCTTGCTTCCCGCCGAGGGCTCACCGAGGCCGGCTTCCTCCCAGAGCCTTGCTTCCCCGCTGTGGGCTCACCAAGGCCGGCTTCCCCCCAAGGGCTCACCAAGGCCGGCCTCCTCCCAGCGCCTTGCTTCCCCCTGAGGGCTCACCGAGGCCAGCTTCCTCCCAGCACATTGCTTCCCCACTGTGGGCTCACCAAGGCCGGCTTCCCCCCAAGGGCTCACCAAGGCCGGCCTCCTCCCAGAGCCTTTCTTCCCCCCGAGGGCTCACCGAGGCCGGCTTCCTCCCAGAGCCTTGCTTCCCCCCGAGGGCTCACCAACTCCGGCCTCCTCCCAGAGCCTTGCTTCCCGCCGAGGGCTCACCGAGGCCGGCTTCCTCCCAGAGCCTTGCTTCCCCCCGAGGGCTCACCAAGGCCGGCCTCCTCCCAGAGCCTTGCTTCCCCCCGAGGGCTCACCGAGGCCAGCTTCCTCCCAGCACACTGCTTCCCCCCGTGGGCTCACCAAGGCCGGCCTCCTCCCAGCGCCTTGCTTCCCCCCTGTGGGCTCACCAAGGCCGGCTTCCACCCAAGGGCTCACCGAGGCCGGCCTCCTCCCAGAGCCTTGCTTCCCCCCGAGGACTCACCGAGGCCGGCCTCCTCCCAGAGTCTTGCTTCCCCCTGAGGGCTCACCGAGGCCAGCTTCCTCCCAGAGCCTTGCTTCCCCCCGAGGGCTCACCGAGGCCGGCTTCCTCCCAGCACCTTGCTTCCCCACTGTGGGCTCACCGAGGCCAGCTTCCTCCCAGAGCCTTGCTTCCCCGAGGGCTCACTGAGGCCAGCTTCCTCCCAGCGCCTTACTTCCCCGAGGGCTCACCGAGGCCGGCCTCCTCCCAGAGCCTTGCTTCCCCCCAAGGGCTCACCGAGGCCGGCCTCCTCCCAGAGCCTTGCTTCCCCCCGGGGGCTCACCTTCTCTCGCAGGTGCCACCGGCTCACAGCGAGTCCCAAGTCAGGTGTCATTTCCGAGATTGGCTGGGCCCAGTGGATGGCCCGGCGCTGGCTGCACCCGTGTGGGATCTGAGCTGGGGCCCTGCCCCGGGTGTAGCCACAACCCACGAGTGCTGGTGCTTCTGCCTTTGGATTCTGTCAGGGATGCGGCGTGTGGACATCCTAACATGGGAGTTGTTGATATTTAATTTTTCTCTCATAGACACTGTGGTGTTCTCATTTATTTCCAGGAGTTTTCCAAGTATCGTACGTTTAACGAATGGGGTTGGCTTTTTAACTTTCATTTGCAGCTGCTCATCATGACAATCATTTTCTCGCCCCCTAACCAATCAGTTCTAATAGCTTTTCTTAAAAAGATTCTCAGGGGACTTAGGAATGTAATTACCTCTGAGAATAAAGAACATTTCCCCTTGATTTCTAGTGTTCTAATTGATTATGTAGCTTGCTTCCCTAGCTAAAGATTCCAGAACAATCTTGGATGGCGGCAGAAGTGGCAGCTGTCCCACCTTGCTCTAATTTAACGAGCACATCTGAGCATGGCCGTTTGATGGGCTGTGGGCCATCCGGGCCAGGGCTGAGGTCTCCTTTGGCATCTGTGAGTGCGTGGTGCGGTCCACTATGTTTACTGTTGATGTCATGATTTATAGTGAGACATCTCCTCGCGTTATTAGACCCGATGCCACTTGGTGATGATGCAGAATTATTGAATAAGCCACTGGCTTCCAATTGCCTGTCTTTAAGCTTTTAGCATCTATAATAGGAAATTAGATTGCTCGGTGGTTTTCTTTTGGGGACTTAACTTTATCCAGTTTAAAATGAAGCCTAACAGTAAATACACACTGCAGGGCTTTCTAACTGCACCTGTGGACTGGGATAGTCTGAAGAATAGGATTTTTTCTCTCATTTCTGACAGCTGGGTTAAATTCAGTTATAAAGCCATCTGGGCCTGGGTACCTTTTTAATAATATCTCCTTCTTATTTATTTTTTGGGGGGGACAGGGTCTCACTCTGTAGCCCAGGCTGAAGTGCAGTGGCATAACCTCAGCTCATTGCAGGCTGAAATTCCCAGGCTCAAGCAATCCTCCCACCTCAGCCTCCCTAGTCGCTGGGACCACAGGCATGGGCCAACCATGCCTGGCTAATTTTATTTTTTCTTTTTGGAGATGGAGTCTCGCTTTGTCGCCCAAGCTGGAGTGCAGTGGCCCAGTCTCGGCACACTGCAAGCTCCGCCTCCTGGGTTCACGCCATTCTCTTGCTTCAGCCTCCTGAGTAGCTGGGACTACAGGCACCTGCCACCACACCTGGCTAATTGTTTTGTATTTTTTAGTAGAGATGGGGTTTCACTGTGTTAGCCAGGATGGTCTCGATCTCCTGACCTTGTGATCTGCCCGCCTCGGCCTCCCAAAGTGCTGGGATTACAGGCATGAGCCACTGCGCCTAGCCCATGCCTGGCTAATTTTTGTATTTTTAATAGAGATGGGGTTTCACTATGTTGGCCAGGCTGTTCTCGAACTCCTGACCTCAAGTGATCTGCCCGCCTCAGCCTCCCAAAGTGCTGAGATTATAGGCGTAAGCCACCCCGCCCGGCCATAAATGCTATATTTGAAGGCAATGAGAAAAGGATGGGTTTTACTTGATAACTCCATATGATTCGGGAGATTAGCTTCATGTAATCTGGAAGAAAACAAAGCTTACCCCCACTTCACATTGTACACAAAAATAAATGTTATATGGATTAAAAGTCCAAATGTGAAAAAGAAGAAAAGCTGAAGGCAGTTGTATAACCTCAGGGTTCTATGAAGAAGACAAGCCCAGAAGGAAAGGCACTGGGTCGACCACCTGTGTTAAAAGCTTTCTATGGAAACAGACATCCTATTCAAAAGCAAAAGACAAACTCTTTACCACACACACGACAGAAAACCAACCCTTACAAACTAATAAAAAATGTGTCTTTAAATTTGGAAAAATGGACAAAAGATATAAATATGAATTTTTAGAAGAAAAGATGAACAGTGTGAATAAACATTATAAGGGATTTGTCCTCAAAGCAAAACCCTGCCAGGTTCTCCCCCATTTGTTTGGAAGTGTGTTAAAGATGGGCAGTGGAGTGGGTTGGGGGATCCCAGGGGGACCCCACCCTGCCCTTTCCCGTGAGAGCAGAAGCCACCACGGTTTTTCCAGAAAGCAGTCTGGAAGAATTTATTTTCATACTTTATTATTTAATATTAAATGTAAACAACTCGTGCCCTTTGATGTCGGCGCCCTGCCTTGGGGACTCCACGCCTCGGAAATGGAAGCTCCTGGGATAAATGAGTCCTTTTGAAGGCAAACCCTGGCGGCCAGCAGCCGCCCAGAGCAAGAATGAGGGCCTGGGGCAGCCCCTGACGTGGGGCCGCAGAGCAGCGGGCAGAGAGCTGGGCTCCTGTATCTGAGGACGGAGGGGTTCCAGCCTGCGTGGTGGCCTGCGTGTGTTTGAGGGGGGCCCTGGGGAAAGTCACGCACCTCACGATTGAGGCCGACCCTCGGAACTGCACGTTTGGGGGTCCCCGGGGTTAGGATCTTGGGTGGATAGGAGGTAGCGCTGGGATCTTGGTGAGATCTGGAATCTTTCCTCTTCTGGGCCTCAGCCTCCTGCTTTGCAAGATGAGAAGGCCCTCATGGCCCAGAATCGATCTCCCCACGCTGTGCCAGTCGGGGGGATGGAAGAGGCTCAGATGTGACCCAGAGCTGCTGGGTCCCTGACAGCGCGGGTGGGAGCCGGGGGAGAGGAGCTGCCCCGCAGAGCCCAGGCTGACCCGGCTGCCGCTGTCTGTTCCGCAGGTGGCAGGGCTACGAGGGCTTCGTGGCGGTGCACAGCCTCCCCACCGTCGGCTGCAGGGACTGGGAGGCCTTCAGCACCACGGCTGGTGCCTACCTCATCTACTCCAGCGCCAAGGAGCCCCTCTCCAGGGTCCTGCGGCTGAGGACACGCTGAGGCCGCGGCTGCCCGGCAGCAACTGGGGTGGCCAGGTGGGGCGGGACCCCAGCACCTCCCCCAACTGACCCTGGACGTCCAGGTGGGCCCAGCCTAGGGCATCCCGGGCCTGGGCATCAGGCAGGGTGCAGGTGGGGCCATCTGCGGCCCTGGTTCGGGCAGGGACATCCATCCACCTCTGAGTCCTTCTGAGCCACAGCCCCAGTGACGGTCTGGTCTTGCAGGCAGAGGCCCAGAGCCCCTGCCAGTGCTCGCCCATCTGAGTGTCAAGCGGGGATTTCGCTGTCAAGGAACCGTTTCTATACATTTTTACCTCAAACAACAGGACCTCGGTTCATGTCCCTGCGGCTGGCCTCTCGCCAGCCACTCCTGCAGTGTGCGTCCGGCCGCCTGAGCAGGTGTGGTGCCGTCCCGCCATTGCCGCCACCTATTTATTGTGTTTTATCTGAACGGAAGTGTATTTATACTGCTCTTTACAAAAGCACCGGTGCTCCTCTCTAGGCAGCGGGTGGGCACAGCCCCTCACCACGGACACGGACAGAGGACCACCTCCCCATACAGAGAGAGGCTTCCCTCCCAGCCTCAGTTTACCCGTAAATGCACTAGCGCGAGGTCAGAAATCACAAGCCTGGGCATGGCCTGGGTCGCACCCCCTCCCCACGGCCCCACCCACAGGGACCTCAACTTCTGGGCCCGGGATTTTTTCCCTATTCAGCAGCATTTTAATCACATGTCCTCCAGCTGACTGGGACTCAGGCTGCGTGCCTCCGTCTGCCTGTGTGCTGGCTGTCCTAGCTCCCTGGTAACAGCATCCTCTGCTGGCTCTCCTGTGGTCATCTTGTCTCTGCAGCTGGGAGAGCTGCTTGTCTGTCCGTCACAGGCAGTGAGGATGAGAGGGGGTGATGGGCGCAAGGCCCCAGGGGTCCTCCCTCTTAACCCATGTAGGTGCCAGAGAAACCACCCCCACTCCATGAGAAGAGGCTCAGACAGCAGGCTCCGGGGCCACGCAGCCCAGACCACACCTGCCACGGTCTTCCAGGAACGGTGCTCCTGCTTCTGCAACACAAATCGGAACAGGAGCGATCCTCAGAGAGTTTACAATGTGCTTTTTCCGCCAATCAGAACTGTGGACAAAACTTCCTATTTCCTACACCGCAGCTGTCTGTTCACCTTCAGCTCAGAGAGCACTCCTGACCTTTCGTAATGAAATGGAAGCCTCCCCTTGTCTGGCAAATAATAAACTCAGTGTCTACTTTTGCCGGCTTTGGGACCTTCGTGTTTTTCCGGGGCTCAGGTCTCACTCCAGCCATCGCTGTGGCCAGTGGAGAGCCACTCCCCTCTGGGGGCAGTCGCCGAGAGCCTCCTTCCCCTCCGTCCAGCCAGCAAGGCTTTCCCAAGCGTCCTGGGCAGGAGGGTTGGGCCCTGCTTTCCACCAAGTCACTCAGAAGGTCCCAATCACACATGATTGGCCTCATTGGGTCAGCACCTGTGAAAGGAAGATTAAAAACTCGACACCCCAATTCACTCAACCAAGAAGAAAAAAGCTGAAAGCTGAGTCCTGCAGGAAGCTGCCTTTCCCTTTGCCCTAAGCAGACAGCTGCAGATGAGAGGGTCAGCATCTCCACTAGTGGCTGCTCTGTGTGCCCCTTATCTCATGGAAAGTGCCAATTTACTGAGCACGAGATAAACAGGTAACTGACTGTTCCCACCTGCTCCTTTTCTCCTGCAGCATGGAGCAATCAGTCATGTGACCACACCCTCCTCCCTCTGCCCCCTCCAGCCGGCTTTTCCCCTTGACTGAAGCCTTCAACATCATCTTGGGAGAGAGGCACAGACCTGTCTCCTGGGTGCATCCTTAGCCTTGGCAAAATAAACTTCTCCATTGATCGAGGCCTGGGTCGGGTACTTTTTTGGTTTGCAGACTCACCCACATGCTTTTCCAGTTGGGCCTTGCTCTTCTCTTGTTTGAGTAATTTGTTTCTGTTCATGTGAGGCTGACGGTGTCGCAACTGTTCCAACTCCCATCTCTCAGCCAGATCCCTTCATTCCCCAAACTGTTCTAGATCTGGACTTATTTTGGAAATCAGAGCCTGGCTTGAGTGGCTGAAAATCTAAGAACTTCTGGGTAAAGTTACCACTCAGTGTTTGGAGCACAAAACTGAAAGTGTCTGAGCCAGGTCTCAGTCAGCTTAGAGGGTTATGATGCCAAGGTTGAGAATCTGCCCAGGAAAAAGTGGCACCAGTCACAGCAGGACCTGTGGCCAGGCCTTTTCCAGAGAGCATTTTGAGGTGCTGAGTATTTAAAAGAGGAGGAGAGGAGAGGGCAGGGGGAAGGGGGAGAGAGAAGACGGTGGGTGGGCAATGAGGCCAGTGGTCAGGCTCCTGGGAGGCTTTAATTAGCACGCACTGAGTGCACGTTGCAAGTGAAAGGGGGAGGTGGGGGAACAGCCCTTTAGGCACTCACCTGGCACTCAGCAAACCTGCATCTGACGTCAGATAGAGTAGACACAGAAAAGAAGAAAAAGCCAAGCCTGTGTTTTTCTCGAGTGTTTAACCAGAAGTCACGGCTGGAGACACAAAAGCACCTCCTGGCCTATGCAATTTTGTTCCTTTACTGCTTTAAACAAGCAAGATGTGGTTTTATTCCTTTAGTAGCTGGTGGTGTTGGCTCTGTGTCCCTGAACAAAAATAAAAGCAAGCCCTAGTCTTTTGTCCCACACTCGCGAGGATCAGCTGCTCATCGACACTGTCAGAGTGTGGGAGGCCTCCCGGGGAGATACATGGCCGGCCGTCTTGCAAGCTCTCTGTTCAGAAACAGACTGGTTCTCCTGAGAGGCAGGTTTTGCGTGACGCCATTTCCAAGCTTTCCCTTTCCCTTTGGAACAGTGAGTTTGGCATCTCAGGATTCTGTTTGCCTTTCACAGGAGGGAGAAGCTCCAGACGTGGGCTCGCCGCTGTCCTTCCATGCCCCCTCTTGGATGGAATCAGTGGGCCCTGGGGCCCCGCCCACCTCCCCAGTCTTCCCCTGGGGTTGAGAAGAGCACTTTTCTGTCTTGTTAGCCACGATTTCAAGCCAACGTTGCAAAAGCTCTGATTTCCTGGATCGTGGGGAAGCCCGTCTGGGCGCCCCAGCAGCACGTAGTTCAAACACCTCTCCTGGCACCGGGGAGCGGTTCCAGCGTGCCCTTCTGAGAACCTTCTTCAACTGCACTTGCAGTCAGTGTGTTTTCTCTTGTGTAATTGGAATCAGGACCTTTTGAATCCTACCTGCAAATTTATGCAAACAATATGCAAAAACTTGTGACAAAAATTGGCAAAGGAAGACCTTTTGCGGGTGAAGCACAACTGTCACCTAATGGCTCTCAGGGGTGGTTGGGGCGGTGGCGCAGGTGAGAACTGACGTTTGGTCGGGGTCTGTAGCGGTGGTGGGAGGTGTTGGGGTCTTCCTCCTCCCCTGCCCCGCAGTGTGGGAGTAGCCAGTGAAAGTGCAGAGTTGGGGGCTCCCTGTCTCTTCTTCACTGTGGAGGCATCTTCAGAGCTGGGGAGAGGGCGGGATCCCTTAGCCTCCCTTCAGGCTGTTCCTGATGCCACATCTGGTGCTGAGAATGAGTCTGAGAAGCCTCCAGGCCCCCGACCTCCCTATGCCGTCACACCCACATCAAACTATCCTGTGTTAGCATTAACTTCACATTATTGTAATTGTCCCCCTGGGAGGTTAAGCTTTGTGGAGCTTTTCTGTGATCCCTCTCTATCATGGAACCATCGAAACTCTACATCTTAACATCGGAAGGTTCTTTCACGATCATCTGGTCCAATCCCTTTGCTTTCCGCAGAAGGGGACCAACACACAAAGAAGCAGCTGACCCTGGTTCAGCCCTAAACCGGAGCCCTAAATCAGTCACCACCTCTCCAGCTGACACTACTCACTGGATGGAAGGCCTCACAATCTGGGTGCCACTTGAGATATGGTGGGAGCAGAAAATAGTTGTGTTATTTTAAAGGGTCAAGAGTGACTTTGTAAATCCACACCCCTGTCATTCCTAGAAAGCTATGTGGCTTATGGACAGCACCAGCTTCTTACTGTGCTTTTCAAACAGCTGGGCAGTTGGGCAGGACACACTGATTGCTCTTAGACTTGTAAATAACCTCTGGGCTGTCCAGAGCTGTCCCGAACTGTCCCGAGTTCTATCCTGTGGCTGTTTGTAGGCAATGATGAAATTGGGTTGTGGGGAGGAAGAGAAAGAAGAGAGTGGCGGAATGGGCTGTGGGGCCGATGAGATCAACATTTATTGGGCACTATTTCTGACGTTATGCTGAGTGTCACCCAACATTTGCCCCATTTTACAGTTTGAGGAAACTAAGGTTCAGAGAGGTTAAGTAATTTGCCCAAAGTCTCACAGCTAATAAGGAAGAAGACTGAGGTTTCACACTTGAGACTTTCTGATCTCAGAGCCCAAGCTCGTCACCACCATGCTCATGGGGCAACGGTGGGGAGAGAGCCAGGTTTCCAGGAAACCTCTCAATGGCCGTGCAAAAGTTGACCCTCTTACTTCCCGCCGCTTGGATGAGCGGCCTCGATGGTGGAAGAGGGGCCAGCAGAAGAGCAGGGCCATTTCCTGCGTTGGTCAGGATACGCCTCATCTTGCCCACGTCTTCCTGGGGCTGACACATGGGAATTTTTCCAGCAGGCCTGGCCCGAGGGCGCTGGGGCTTTACTTTTGTGCTGGTGCAGGCGGTTCTCAGGCTCAGATAAAATTTCCTTTAGCTGTTTATCCTCCCAACAAGCATTTTGCAAACACCTCTTCTGTCAGTTCTTGAACCACTAAGCATGGTCCCCGACCCAACAAATGGAGCTCCGATTCGGAGATGCAAAACCTGATTCCAGCAAAGCTTCTTGCAGCTTCTCTGGGGCAGTTTTCACAGCTCTTTATCTTCTCCACTTCTCTATTGTTGCTTTACCAACAGGGGCCTCTGCCACCAAGGAGTGGGGAAGACATGCAAAAGGGGCTGTGCGGCACTTGGGCTAAAGATTTTGGGAAGGATGTGGAAGCCGGGGCTAACCAGAGGTTTCGGCGTGACCTGCGAATCTTCCCCTCTCCCCCATCCCTGCGGTGTCGTTTCATCAGACACCGAAGCTGGGCTCATGAGCTAAGGGCCGCAGTTCACTTAAAATTCCGTCCCAGGCCAGGTGCGGTGGCTCACGCCTGTAATCCCCACAATTTGGGAGGCCGAAGCAGAGGATCACGAGGTCAGGAGTTCGAGACCAGCCTGGCCAACACGGTGAAACCCTCTATTAATACAAAAATTAGCCAGGCTTGGTGGTGCACGTCTGTAATCCCAGCTTCTTGGGAGGCTGAGGCAGAAGAGTTGCTTGAACCCAGGAGGTTGAGGCTGCAGTGAGTCGAGATCATGCCATTGCACTCCAGCCTGGATGACGGAGGAAGACCCTGTCTCAAAAAAAAAAAAAAAAAAAAAAAATCCATCCCAGCATCCTCAGCTGGAATAACTGCCAGTTGCCACTGGCTGCCCCAACGGAATTAACAGACGCTGCCACCAGCCCTCCTGACCTCATTGGACAAAGCTGCATCCTCAGCAGGCTGTCTCCATCCTGAGATGGAGTGGGAAGTCCTCTCATGCGGAGTCTGAGCTTCAGACAGGGAAGGATGGGGGCCCTTCCTGTATTCCCATCAGTGTTCACCTAAAAGGAAGAGGCTGAGGCATGAAGTCTAACTTAAAGAGTTGACTTGAGCCAGGGTGAGGACAGCAGCCCAGAAGACTCACACCCACGTACGCCTGGCTGTGAGCTTCCCGGCCATGAGCTTGCTTTCTTTGGCCTTCATTATAGGCAGGTTTTTAAGGCAAAAGAGGGTGACATGGAGCAGGCCGACACAAAGCTGCTTGTCGGGAGTCTCGCTGGCTCACAGAAATAACACTGCTAAGCTACGTGGTGCAGGTTGCAGCATCCGGTGGGCATGATTTGTTAGTTAGTGGCTCCTCATGGTCATCGCACGCAGCTCCTGAAGATGAACACACAGCTCAGAGGGAGAAGGACAGGACTCCTGTCCCCTCTCCACATCTCTCTGTGCCCGATCATGTAAAAGGACTTGTGTTCCTCACAGAACAGTTCTTTTCTCATCAGGAACTCCATTTTCTGCTTTCTTTGTCAGGATGGGGTCCCCTGGAGAGCTGCTTAGAGGGGCAGGAGAATCCCAGGAGGGAAACCTAAAGCATTTGGGCAGGGGCAGCAGCCACACCTATAACCAGCCTTACAGAGCAGGTCACTGGGGCTGAGAGTGGGAGAAGCCAGTTTCAGTCTCACATGGGTATTCTCCAGACAGACCTGGCAGGTCCTGTCCCCAGAGATCAGGGGTTGTAACTGCAGGCAGACAGAAAAGCCATGGAAAGCATTCATCCCTGCAAGAGCTCAGGGCTCACCCTTGGGAGATGCTGAGCAGCAGAAGTGCCTGGAAAATGTGTGTTGAAAGGGTGAAATGAGCAGAGGGTTCCGGGTTTGGCTCTGGTAGAATCAGAGGATGATCTGGGAGGGAGACATAGACCCAAATGGTAACAGGTGCGGGAAGTGAGACTTGAAATCTGAAACATGACATGACCCTGAGAATTTCATTCTAGTGCCTGGCTTCAGGCATAGGGTTGTGGCTGATGGGTGGATGTGTACACACACAGGCAGACACATTTACTGTTGGGAACGGGTGCTCGGTGTTGCAGAAATCAACACTGAGACAAAGGATCTCTCAGCAAGGCTAGTTTACTTTCTGCAGAAAGGGTGCCGCTCGCTAGCAGTCTTGCCACAAGAGCACACACAAAAAAAGACAGGGTCATTTATAACCTGACGCAGCTACCCTACTGCTGTGCCCAGTTTCTATCGGCTGGAATGGGACCTTACATTCTGTTTGTCTCGATTGGCTAGCAACTTAGAACTTCCCAAAAGAGGCAAAGGCAGAGGAGAACAAAGGAAGAGAGGAAGTAACTTGTGGAATGCTGAGAGAGGCAAAAACACTTCCAAATAAGGAAGAGGAAGAGGCTATGACCTAATTCTTGCTTGGACTGGTTCAGGCATGCCAGGGCAAATACCTAGACTAAAATGTGGGAGCTAAGAACAGAGTATATTGATTTCTTTATTACAGCTAGCAGAATTTAAGAATATTAACACAGGTCTTTGAGTAAACTTTGCTTCTAGAAGAGGTTACTATCTATTCTGAATTAGACTGGGAGGAAAGTCCCTTTGAAGAGGAACCTCTATTTCATTTCTACATGTACCTTCTGTCTTGGACTTTGGGAAGATGTTCTCTGGGCTGAAGACTGTCTGCTAGGTGAAAATATCAGGGAAGGTGATCGTTGCTTTTTCTGCCTATCGCCAGGAAGTTGGACTTTCATAAAACTCTAGTGCAGGTTCGCCGCAGCCTGGAGGGACAAGCACTGGGTTTCATTTTACTCAGCCCTGCCAAACTGTGTGCTCTAGGACGAGCCATTCAACTCTTTCAGCTGTGCTATAGGAAGAATCAACACCCATCTTGCAGGACTCATTTAGGGATTAAGAGGGAGAATCACCAGGAAAAGGAGATGTAATCTGTAAAGGGCTGTCACCCCCTTGTGATGGTGACACTGATGTGGTTAACCCCGGGACGGTGGGTCGCATCCTTGCCTAGAGCAGTGGTGTGTACAGGGTCATCCTTCACAGTGAGGAGAGGTACCGACGTCGTCTGATGCTTGACACAACCCGACCCACACACATTATGCACAGATAGCAACACTGAGGGTCTCGGTGACAAATGAGTGGAAGGAACATATGGGGGTGGGGGGCTTTCACAACCTTGAGAGCAAAGGCAAGGCAAGTTATTTCTGTTGAGAAACACAAAGCCAACAACACCAGCAGCGAAAGGAATGCAAACCACATCTTGCTTGTTTAAAGCAGTAAAGGAACAAAACTACATAGGCAAGGAGGTGCTTTTGTGTCCCCAGCCATGACTTCTGGTTAAAAAGTGCACACAAACCTCAGACAGTCAATACACTCACTTCAACGCCTGATGTGGTGTGTTTCCTTAAGAAAAAAAATCCCGGGAGGGGAACAACACTCACTGGGGCCTGTTGGGAGAGGGCTGGGCCAGGGGGCATGGAGAACATTAGGGAAAAGAGCTAATGCATGCTGGTCCTCATGCCTAGTGACAGGGTGACAGGTGCAGCAAACCACCATGGCACACGTTTACCTATGTAACAAACCTGCACATCCTGCACATGTACCCTGGAACTTAAAAATATATATAAAATAATTAAAATTTTAAAAAAGAAAAAAAAATCCTAAGGGCTGGGTGCAGAGGCTCATGCCAGTGATCCCAGCCCTTGGGAGGCTGAGGTGGGAGGACAGCTTGAGCTCAGGAGTTCGAGATCAGCCTGGGCAACAAAGGGAGACCCTGTCTCTCTACACGTATATTTATTTTAAAAAAGAGGAAAAAATCCTAAAAATAAAACAGTGTCACACTTTCTTCAACTTGCTGCCTCTTTGAGCTTTGTTTCTATCCTGTGGAGAAAATCTCTAGACATTACTCATTACGTTTCAGTACCCGTTGGTACTTCCCAGGCACGGAGTGGGAGAGGATAACTGATTTTTCTGAGTGCGTAATCATTCATTTACTCAGTGTTTATTAAGACCAACTGAAAAGAGAAAGGTTCCCTTGTCCCCCTCGCAGGGTGTGCGATGGGGGTGTGGCTTGATTCTTCAGTGCCCTGCTGCCCAAACCTCTAGGGGAGCATACAGACAGGCAGGCTCCAACCCCATAGCCGTGTCTAGGGGTGAATGTTTACAGCTGAAGCCCCAGTGGGCGTGTGTTCCAGGGTGCTCTTTTAGTTTTGCCGTCTGTAGGCAGCTTGTGTTAACCAGGTCAATGAGACCCTCTAGTTATCAAAAGGACAGAGGGCTGTCTGTATCCTGGGTTCTTGCCTGGGTGTACCAGAAGAATCGGATCACACCTGGGCTTGGAGAATCAGTGCGAAGTGTTATTGAGTGGAAGCAGCTCTCAGCTGATGGAGGAGCCAGAAGGGAGATGGTTTTCTCCTGGAGTTGAGCTGCTTAGTGGCCTAGCTCTCCTCCGACTGCCCCGGCCAAACTCCGCCTTGGCCTGCCGCTACGTGGCCTGCCGCTACGTGGCCTGCCGCTACGTGGCCTGCCGCTACGTGGCCTGCCGGCGTGCCAGGGTCTGTGGGTGTGCTCTTCCGCCGGCATGCTCCACTGACGTCCTCTCCATGTCCAGCCGCTTTTCTTCTTCCCTTCCACTGATGTGTTTCTCTCAGCATCCGGCAGCTTCTATCTCTGCCTTGCTAGGGTCTCAGGGTTTTTATAGGCCCAGGATGGGGGCATGGCAGGCCAGGGTGATCTTGGAAAATGCAACATTTGGGTGAGAAGGAGAAAGTGCCTGCCCTCACCTAGGTCCGTGGGGGTGGAGCCCTAGCCAGGGACCACACCCTCTTCTACCCAGCACCTCCCTTCTGTATCATTTAAAGAGATGACACTCTTCCCTTCCCCGCACTCCTGTATCATTTCCCCTCTCTGAAAACGTACATCTAACTGCTATTAGAATATGGACGATGACCTGTCTTAGCTGCTTCCCGCTGACAGGGGGCGTTGTTTTTGAGAAAACGGCAGTCAAATTCCTCCCAGAGGTCTGTCTAAGGGTTCCTAGCAAAGGGGAGTCATTATCTGAGGCTCCAGTTGCCTGTCCACTTGGAGTTTGATGGTTCTAGGCATGAGAGAAAAAAAAAAACCCAGGTTTTATAAGGTTAAGTATGCATGGGTTAAACATGTGTGTTATAAAAAGAAAGAATGTACTCCCAAAGATCACAAAGATAAGAAGTGAAATATACTAACAGCAAAGTTGCACCCTGAGCTGTTTCACCCCTGGTGCAAGAAATTAAACCTTGTACAAGAGCAAATAAACTTTAGAATGAAGTAACTATTCTTGCCATATCTTTAGCAGTTAACAGGTGCACCCTGGGAATTCTGGGGTTTGTGGACGTACACGGTGGCCACTGAAGCTTTTGTCTCTTTCCTGTGTCTCCTCTCACTGTCCTGGGCCTCCGTCTCTATTATAAAAGACTGAGGTGGCCACTTTTAGGAGGTCCTCTAATGTACTATCTGGTCCAATGGCCCAGTTTTTGCAACTTCCTCCTGATGTCAGGAGCCGCCTGAGTAATAAAGTTATGCTTTGGGATTCACTGTCCCTCAACTGAACCAGGAGAGAGAGAGGTGAGCTTTACCAAGGCCTCTCTTAGCCTTTCCTAGAAGGCGATTGGATTTTCATCAAATTCCTGGTTGATCATGGACAACTTGTTCTTAGTCTTACGTAAGCCTTCTATTACGCACACCTGAAAGTGTCTCCTCCGCCCGGCTTCCATCTCATGATTGGGGTCCCATTTACGGTCATTCACTGGTACTGCTTCTCTTCCGGTTGGATAATATTCACCCCCTTTCCTGATGCTACATGTGATGCAAAGCTCATCCCCAAATCTCTCTGCAGCTTGTAGAGTGGCCTGTTTCTCAGTGTCTATCACAGTCTGATTCAAAAGTAACATAACGTCTCTCTCCAGGAGAGTTCAACTATTTGGTTGAAATTCTAGAAAGCCTCTATATACCTATGAGGATCATCTGAAAACTTGCCCAGATCCCCCCTTAATTTACTTTAAGTCCTGTAAGGAGAAGGGGACCTGGACCTTGCTGGCCCAAATTCACCAGGCATCTGTTGGAGGAGCAAGAGTGAGACTGGGGCTTGTTTAGAGTGAGAATTTGTAGGAGGGGCCAAGTGAGAGGCTGAAGCTGGATAGGGAGGTCGGGGTGGACCCAGAGGAGCAGGGCTTGAGGGAGCTGGCCTCTCTTTCCGGGGTGCCTCTAGGACTCGTATCTTTAATTCCCTGGGCTTACCCCTTGCAGCCTTCTCTGAGATGGCAAACAGGAGGGCTGGATGAATCCTACACTGTCGGCAAGGTCTGGATTTCCTTGCAAGGTATAGAAAGGCCCTGCACATACGGGGCCTCAGGCCATCTGTCCTCACATCTACAGAAAAGTCTCAACAGCCGAATGGTATGGAAATGAATGATTCCTTCCTAGGGCCAACCCAGTCCTTCATAATTTGGCCAAACCTTTGTGCAGAGGGCTCTGAGGTGTTTCTCCTGCAGATTCTGAGGGTCAAAGCAGTCCCGATGGTTCAGGGTACACTACAGAGGAGTATAAACTGGGGGTGTTGAAGAGAACTGGAGACAGTGAATAGAGAAGCCCCTCATTCTCTTCCTTCTTTCAGCGAAAACTCAGGGTGTGATGGAGAGAGAAAGCGAGCATGATCCTTTCAGTCTCCACTCCTTATCCCTGAGCCCTGGCGACCTTGGCAGGTGCCAGCCATGGGTACTAATGTGGTATGTACCCATGAAGCAGGGAAAACCTGGAGACTAGGAACGAACCGCCCTTGCCTATGCCTCCCTTTCTCCCTGCTGTCGGCAAACCTTCAGTTCCCTGGGCCTGTTTATGCCATGAAGCATGGCCTCCTTCCATAGGGTGGGGGGTTTAGTCAGCAGGAATTGGTGCTACCCATTTACATTGTGCCTGTTCCCTGGCTTTGGATCCCTCAGACCTGTTTTTTCTTTCTAAGACCTCAGCCTGAAGCTTGGAATCGAGTTTGGGACTGAAAAGATATTTTAGAGGCTGGTTCTATCTGTTGAGAGTGTCTCAAATGTGCCCTGCCAAATTTGCAGCTCTCCGCCAGCAGGGGTCGCTGGTCCTCTGCTAACTTCCCCATCAGAAACAGAGTTGGGAGGGGAGCCCTCTCACTTAGAAAAGGAAAAAAGATACAAAAATCAATTCAAGATGGATTAAAGACTTAAACGTTAGACCTAAAACCATAAAAACCCTAGAAGAAAACCTAGGCCCTACCATTCAGGACATAGGCATGGGCAAGGACTTCATGTCTAAAACACCAAAAGCAATGGCAACAAAAGCCAAAATTGACAAATGGGATCTAATTAAGCTAAAGAGCTTCTGCACAGCAAAAGAAACTACCATCAGAGGGAACAGGCAACCTACAAAATGGGAGAAAATTTTCACAACCTACTCATCTGACAAAGAGCTAATATCCAGAATCTACAATGAACTCAAACAAATGTACAAGAAAAAAACAACCCCATCAAAGAGTGGGCAAAGGACATGAACAGACACTTCTCAAAAGAAGATATTTATGCAGCCAAAAAAACACATGAAAAAATGCTCACCATCACCGACCATCAGAGAAATGCAAATCAAAACCGCAATGAGATACCATCTCACACCAGTTAGAATGGCAATCATTAAAAAGTCAGGAAACAACAGGTGCTGGAGAGGATGTGGAGAAATAGGAACACTTTTACACTGTTGGTGGGACTGTAAACTAGTTCAACCATTGTGGAAGTCAGTGTGGCGATTCCTCAGGGATCTAGAACTGGAAATACCATTTGACCCAGCCATCCCATTACTGGGTATATACCCAAAGGACTATAAATCATGCTGCTATAAAGACACATGCACACGTATGTTTATTGTGGCACTATTCACAATAGCAAAGACTTGGAACCAACCCAAATGTCCAACAATGATAGACTGGATTAAGAAAATGTGGCACATATACACCATGGAATACTATGCAGCCATAAAAAATGATGAGTTCATGTCCTTTGTAGGGACATGGATGAAATTGGAAATCATCATTCTCAGTAAACTATCGCAAGAACAAAAAACCAAACACCACATATTCTCACTCAGGTGGGAACTGAACAATGAGAACACATGGACACAGGAAGGGGAACATCACACTCTGGGGACTGTTGTGGGGTGGGGGGAGGGGGGGATAGCATTGGGAGATATACCTAATGCTAGATGATGAGTTAGTGGGTGCAGTGCACCAGCATGGCACATGTATACATATGTAACTAACCTGCACATTGTGCACATGTACCCTAAAACTTAAAGTATAATAATAATAAAAAAAAGGAAAAAGGAGAAAAACAGTTTAAGGGGCAAAAAGGGGGGAGATTCTGGGGGAAGAACCCCTTGCTTAGTGCAACTGCGTCCCTCTAATTCTTATAACTTTCCCATCCTTTCCCCAGTTCAGACCAGGTTGAATTCCTTGGCCAGGGGAGGAAAGGTTCCCTTGGCACACTTGACCAACGCGCTCCCTGTAGGGTCCCGGCTACCCCCTCGGCTTCCTCCCGCCCGGTTCGTGGCTGTTGGGCTTGGCCTTTGCCTGCCGTGGGCACGCCCAGGTGCCCGAGCTGGGAAGGGGAAGAATAAGGAGAGGTGCCCAGAGCCGTGTGTGCCTGCGGCTCTCGAGGTAGAGGCATACATGGCACCTCTAGGAAAAATTGGTCTGATTTGCACCTTTGGCGGCTGAGCCAAATACTCATTCTACTTAGTAACATTGCCGCAGCCTGTAGCAAAACTCTTAACATTATAAAGGAGATAAGAGCCATTTTTAAACCGTGTGAGAGAGAAAAAAGAGATGAAAGGAAAACAGCCTCTTACCCACAAGAAAGACAGGTGGTAGGGTTTTCGAAGGCAGACATTCACCTTCCGAGATTCCAGATGAGGCCCCAGTTAAAAGAGGAAAAGTTCCTTTGTCCCCCTCGCAGTGTGCGATGGGAGTGTGGCTCACTTCTTCAGTGCCCCGCAGCTCAAACCTCTAGGGGAGCATACACTCAGGCAGGCTCCCACCCCACGGCAGTGCCCAGGGGTGAATGTTTACAGCTGAAGCCTGTGTTCCAGGGTGCCCTTAGTTTTGGCGTCTGTAGGCAGCTTGTGTTAACCAGGTCAATGAGTACCTCAAGTAGAGGTACTTGTGGAAAGGACCGAGGCCTTTCTGTATCCTGGGTTCTTGCCTGGGTGTACCAGAAGAATCGGATCACACGGGGGCTTGGAGAACGAGTGCAAAGTGTTATTGAGTGGAAGCAGCTCTCAGCCGACGGAGGAGCCACAAGGGAGATGGTTTATCTCCTGGAGTTGAGCTGCTTAGTGGCCTAGCTCTCCTCCGACTGCCCCGGCCAAACTCCGCCTGGTCCTGCCGCTCGGTGGCCTGCCGGCGTCTGTGGTGTGCTCTTCCGCCGGCATGCTCCCTTGACGTCCTCTCCACGTCCAGCCGCTTGTTTTCTTCCACTGATGCGTTCCTCTCAGCATCCAGCAGTTTCTGCCTCTGCCCTGCTAGGGTCTCGGGTTTTTATAGGCTCAGAATGGGGGCATGGCGGGCCAGGGTGGTCTTGGAAAATGCAACATTGGGGCAAGAAGGCAGAAGTGCCTGTCCTCACCCAGGTCCGGGGGGGTGGAGCCCTAGCCGGGGACCACGCCCCCCTCTACCCAGCACCTCCCTTCTGTATCATTTAAAGGGACCACACTCTTCCCTTCCCCCGCACTCCCGTATCATTGCCGTGTGCCGCGCTCTCCGCTAGGTGGAGATGACAAAAATGAACCAGAGGCCCTGCCCTTAAGGATCTGTATTTGGGTAGAAAGTGATTTGTTAAGAGAGAGATTACAGATTTGGGATTGGTAAACTATGCCCTGGCTGACAAACAAAAGGGGTTCCCCATGGCTGAGGTGCTCAAATTTAAAACATAACCTGGTGCCCAGGGCTGGGTGAGGGAGTGGCCACGAACTCTGTGTTCTCAGACTCTGTAAACGCACCACAGGGCCCCCCTTTTCACAACGAAGCCCAATCAGTCCCCGTTGTTAGTGCCAAGATAAACTGTAGCCAGAGCGGCCCCCACCCTCCTCCCCGCCCGCACGCCCCCCACGCCCCGCACGCCCCGCACGCCCCGCACGCCCCTCACGCCCGCACGCCCCTCACGCCCCGCACGCCCCTCACGCCCCTCACGCCCCTCACGCCCCTCACGCCCGCACGCCCCTCACGCCCCTCACGCCCCGCACGCCCCTCACGCCCCCGACGCCCCGCACGCCCCTCACGCCCCCCACCACTGTTTGAAAGAAACAGCTAACAAAGACTTCCGGTTCGCGGCTTGGAAACCAACCCATCAGGGCCCAGCTGTACCAACCAATCAGAACTAAGCACGTTTCAATCCTTCATTTGCCTACATGGACCTAATGGGGACCCCAGGGCAGGAGCTTTTTGCTCTAAAACCCGAACTCCTTCTTTGCTCTTTGAACACACCTTCATTTTACACCAAAGTCCGCATCTCCCAGGCTTGTACACTATTCACTGGAATAGTCTGTTTCCTCCAAATTCCTTTTCAGAGACCTTTTTGTTAAGAGTTGAGAAGTAGGAGCAGTTATTTCTAGGAAATCTGTCTGCGGGCCGTAGACTGAGCTGAATGCCTGAAAAGGAAACAGTGGGGGGCAGTACTGGTAGAGGTAAATTTACTAGCGCTAGCAGAGGTAGATTTACTAGTACTAGTAGAGGTAGATTTACTAGCACTCACAGAGGTAGGTTTAACCACATCACAAGTGGTCTTGGATGATGGGCCAGGGATTTGTGACTTAATTAAGCACAGGAGTAATCAAAGCTTTTGAGCAGGGGGCACCAAAATCGTCTGGCTGTAAATAGATCCTGAAATTTGGAATCTCATTTTTGAGAATGAATTTGGAATGTGGGTGGATTCAAGGATGATCTGAGGACGTGTGAAAGGACACAGCCTTGCTGGCCACCCTCCCGATGACGTGTTTGCTGCTTCTCACTCTGACTTCAGTGAGCATGGAGAGCTTCACACACGCACATGGGAAACGGTAATTTTCCCTAACTCATCCCTGTGGCCAGGGCAGCCTCAGACACTTAAGAAATCTAGACAACACTTCTAACTAAAATGCCAAGAGAAATTCTACATGGCTGAAAGCGGGGAGCTAGCCATCCCAGCCCAGAGATGTTTCTTCCTAAGAGGAGGCGCACTGATGCAGAAACCTGTAACATGCTGTGGTGACCGGAAGAACGGAGCCCCCCACCCGCACCTGCTGTGGGGGAGGGTGGTTTGTGGCAGACCACCAAGCTCTGCCAATCTCGGTTCAAGTCTGGGCATTGCCACTAATTTGCTTTGTTCAAAGTCACTTGTCTTCTCTGGGCCCGAGTCTCTGGGTCTGTAAACTGGGAAGAAAGACTGGGTGGTCTCCAAAGTCCCTTTGAGGGCAGCCACTGTGTGGGCTCGTGGGACTGAGTGAGACGGCTGAGAGCGCTGGCGTGTCCAGGCTGACGAGCCCCAGGGTCCTCTCCCCTCCCACTGGTGCCGAGGGAGGCACCGCAACGAGCTGCACTTTTGCTCACAACCCTGGCCCGGTCTCATGGCCTGAGTTCAAGTCCTGGACCTTGTGAGAAACAAACTCACCTGTCCACACCCAGAGAATGGACTCACAACCCAGAGAACAGCGAGAGTGAGACTTTTAATGACAGTCTTGCGAGGTCGGGTGTCCGATGGGAAGGCACGCCCAGCCCGGTTTTGTTGTTGTTGCTGTTGTTTTGAGATGGGGTCTTTCTCTGTCGCCCAGGCTGGAGTGCGGTGGCAGGATCTCGGCTCACTGTAACTCTGCCTCCCGAGTCCAAGTGATCCTCCTGCCTCAGCCTCCTGAGTAGCTGGGATCACAGGCACTCACCACCACGCCTGGCTAATTTTCGTGTTTTCAATAGAGATGGGGTTTTACCAGGTTGGCCAGGCTGGTGTCAAACTCCTGACCCCAAGTGATCCGCCTGCCTCACGTCGGCCTCCTAAAGTGCTGGGATTACAGGCGTGAGCCACTGCACCAGCCTCCAGCATGGTTTTAACAAGCACTTTATCCCTTAGTGTGCAGGTCCCTCCCCCAGTTCCTCATAGGCTGAGCACTATGGGGTCACAGTCTTCCCAGATGTCACCTATTGGTTGTTGGGCAGGGGCTGTAGGTGTCTTTTTAGGGTTGTCTTGCTGCATTTTGTTGCAGCCCACAGTGCATTGCAATCCTAGTTAGCCCTGGGGCTCTTTAAATATTTGACTTATGACCTACGTAGCTGGCAGGCTGATAAGAACAGACAAAGCCAGCTATTTTGCAGACTGGTAAACTTTTATCTTAGACTAAACTTCTTTGGTTCAGGTGAGGGCAACTAAGGGGGATCCCGATAAGCAGGCATCGGCTGTCTGAGCAGGGGCCTGGGATATCCTGTTTCTTCTGTATTTTGCAGACCTAAGCCGATTCAAGGCACTTTGTCTTGGAAATGGACCACCGTAGACATGATCCCCTTCAGCCCTGTTGTAGGTTAGCAATGTGAACTTGGGCAAGTCATTAGCCTCCCTGAACCTCTGTTGCCTTTTCTGAGAAATAAATAAATGAATGTGTCAATGCCCTCCAGCCCGAGAAAAATAGAGGGATAAAAACGAAAAAGTCGAGGGAGCTGGCTTCCCGTAAGTATGACACTATCACTATCACTATCAGGCTAAGCAGGTTCCCTTTGCAAAAGGAAGTAAGAAAAGTTAGATACAGAAAAACAGATTTTGACATACACACTCAAAAGCTAGTGGCATTATACTGTTTTTGACAATAGCTTAGGCCTTTGACTGTTTTATCAGCTATATAACAAAGCACAGCGCTTATTAACCCCAGAAGTGTGGAAAGGAAGAACAAAGGAAGAAGCAGCTGTGTCTCATCTTGAATTGTAAGCCCCATAATCCCCATAATCCTCATGTGTCACAGGAGAGACCAGGTGGAGGTGAATGGATGATGGGGTGGTCCCCCCATGCTGTTTTCATGCACGGGAGAGACCAGGTGGAGGTGACTGGATGGTGGGGTGGTCCCCCCATGCTGTTCCCATGCACGGGAGAGACCAGGTGGAGGTGACTGGATGATGGGGTGGTCCCCCCATGCTGTTCCCATGCACGGGAGAGACCAGGTGGAGGTGACTGGATGATGGGGTGGTCCCCCCATGCTGTTCTCATGCACGGGAGAGACCAGGTGGAGGTGACTGGATGATGGGGTGGTCCCCCCATGCTGTTCTCATGCACGGGAGAGACCAGGTGGAGGTGACTGGATGATGGGGTGGTCCCCCCATGCTGTTCTCATGCACGAGAGTGACCAGGTGGAGGTGACTGGATGATGGGGTGGTCCCCCCATGCTGTTCCCATGCACGGGAGAGACCAGGTGGAGGTGACTGGATGATGGGGTGGTCCCCCCATGCTGTTCCCATGCACGGGAGAGACCAGGTGGAGGAGACTGGATGATGGGGTGGTCCCCCCATGCTGTTCCCATGCACGGGAGAGACCAGGTGGAGGTGACTGGATGATGGGGTGGTCCCCCCATGCTGTTCCCATGCACGGGAGAGACCAGGTGGAGGTGACTGGATGATGGGGTGGTCCCCCCATGCTGTTCTTGTGACAGTGAGCTCTCAGGAGACCTGGTGGTTTCATACATGCTCAGTAGCTCCTCCTGCGTTGCTTCTCTTTCCTGCCGCCTTCTGAAGAAGGTGCCTTGCTTCCCCTTCCACCGGGATTGTGAGTGTCCCTGGGGCCTTTCCAACCATGCTGAGCTGTGAGTCAATTAAAGCTCTTTCCTTTCTAAATTACCCAGTCTCAAGCAGTTCTTCACAGCAGTGTGAAAATGGACTAATGCAGTGACCACTCCCAGCCTGTTCCTTCTCGGTGCAGGTCCACATCTGGGATTTTAAGACTAACCAGACCCTCCTAGTTTCTAAAAGCTTTGATTTTTCCAGAGCCTCCTTCAGGCCAGTAGGTAACCAGGAGCCCTGAGAGGGCTGGTGGGTGCTGACCTGTCACAGCCTCCTCAGGGAGCCAGAAAAGCAGGGCCAAGGGGCCAGGCCAGAGAACCTGTGAGCATGAGGAGCCCCAGAGGCCAGGAGAGCCCAGGGAATTCCATGACCTCAGAGGCCGCCCCCATCGCCCCTGCATGCGCGTGGAGCATGGGGATGTGCCAAGCCCAGCCCAGCCTGCAGCAGAGACCCCCACCCCCACACATCCCTGCTGTCGCCATCCCTGAGGCCTGGCCCTGCCCTTGCCTCTCCTTGGCCGGCCCTGGGCAGCCAGGGGCTCCAGTGTGTCTGGCCTGGAGTTGCTGGCCTCAGGAGAGGTGGGGCCGAGGATGCCACATAAACATGCAGGGTGCCTGGTGAAATCTGAATTTCAGATAAACAATGAATACATTTTTTAGTGTAAGTATATCCCAAATGTTACACGGGACGTACTTACACTGAAAGACAGCTATCGATCTGAAATCCAGATGTAACTGGCCAGCCTGCATTTTTATCAGCTCCATCTGCCAACCCCACCCATGGAGGAGCAGCCACACCTCTCAGGGCTGGGGTGCTCAGATTTCACTGGGGTTGCAGGTGGGGCCTGCGGGGCCAGGAAGGATAGGGGTGACTGGAGGAAGTGCAGAGACCATCAGGGACCTGGCCGGGCCTGTGGGGAGGCAGCTTCAGGCAGGGCAGGCTGGTCATCCTGGGGTACACCTGCTGGCAGAGCCCCCGGAAGTACCCTCAGAGGCAAGGTGGCCAGACGGGGAGAAGGGGAGAAACCACCCAGGTCAGGCGCGCTGTGGGGACCTCTGAGAGCCCCACCTGATAGCTGTGATGGTTAACTTCATGGGTCAATTTGGCGTGTGTTTTTGGATGAGATTAATTTTTAAATCTGTGAACTTCGGGTAAAGCAGGTGGGTGGGCCTCATCTGTGGGCGGCAAGCCACCCAGGCGCCAAGGCAAGAGACAGAGGACACGAGCTGTTCCAGTATAATAAAATATAAAACAAGAATAGTTGTACCAGATATAGATCTTAGATATGATTATACATGAATATCATTAATCATTAGTTTGTAGCAATTACTTTTTATTCCAATATTATAATAATCCTCGCTCTATAATCATAGCCTAGGAAAAACCAGGCCATACAGAGATAGGAGCTGAGGGGACACAGTGAAGTGTGACCGGAAGACAGGAGTGTGAGCCTTCTGTTATGCCCGGACAGGGCCACCAGAGGGCTCCTTGGTCTAGCGGTGACGCCAGCGTCTGGGAAGATGCCTGTTACCAGGTGGACCGTGGTCCAGCGGTAGCAAAAGGTGTCAAGGAACAACACCCGCTACTTAGCAGACCGGGAAAGCGGCAGGGGGGCGGGGTGGTCTCCCTTTCCCCGGGGGAGTTTAGAGAAGACTCTGCTCCTCCACCTCTTGTGGAGGGCCTGACATGAGTCAGACTCGCCCACAGTTATCCGGAGGCCTAACCGTCTCCCTGTGATGCTGTGCTTCAGTGGTCATGCTCCTAGTCTGCCTTCATGTTCCATCCTGTACACCTGGCTCTGCCTTCTAGATAGCAGTAGTCAATTAGTGAAAGTACTAATAGTCCCTGATATGCAGAAATAATGGCGTAAGCTGTCTTTCTCTCTGTCTCCTCTCCTTCTCTGCCTCGGCTGCCAGGCAGGGAAGGGCCCCCCATCCAGTGGACACGTGACCCACATGACCTTACCTATCATTGGAGGTGACTCACATTCTTTACCCTGCCCCTTCTGCCTTGTATCCAATAAATAACAGCGCAGCCTGGCATTCGGGGCCACTACTGGTCTCTGTGCATTGGTGGTAGTGGTCCCCCGGGCCCAGCTGCCTTTTCTCTTATCTCTTTGTCTTGTGTCTTTATTTCTACACTCTCTCGTCGCTGCACACAGGGAGAGACCCACCAACCCTGTGGGGCTGGTCCCTACACTCCTCCAATCAGTTGAAGGCCAAAATAGAGTAAGAAGGCTGGCCCCCCTGGGCCAGAAGGCCTTCTCCTGCAGCCTGCCTTTGGGCTTGGCCTGCACCATGGGCTCTTCTGGGTCCTGAGCCTGCCCGCCCACACCGCACAGGAGCCAATGCCTCGTGCAAAGTCTCTGCTCCTCTCCACACATCCTAGTGGCTCTGTTTCCTTGCTGAGCCCTGATGAATGCAAGGCCCAAAGAGGCAACAGTCCCACACAGGAGTCAGGACATCTTGTGTTTAGTCCCACTGGCCAGTTCCCCATCCCTGTGCCTCAGTTTACCCATGAGGGAGGAGTGAATGGGGCATCCTCCCTGAGCACCTGAAGCTACACAGCTGTGCTCCGTGGAGGGACCTGGACATCCACGCACTTCCTCCCTGTGCTGTGGGTGTCACTGGGCCTCTGATTGCGTCAGGAGCTGGCGCCAGGGAGGAAGGAGGCAGACAAGGTGCTGCCAGCACCCAGGCACACGCAGGGAGCCACATGCACTCCCACCCGGTGCACTCTGCTCTGTTTACAATCAAAGGGCACCAGCACTGCTGGGTGGAAACAAAACTAAAAACACCAGAACTTGTCAATCGAGATTTTAAAAATTCACAATACAAACCAGAGGGGAAAATGCTGGAACATCGGAATATTTAGCTCTTTCCAAGGTTGCTCTTCTGGTCTTTGTCTCTGCTGATAAACATTTACATGGTGACAAGATGTGCCGTATGAATCACGTGCAAGCCGCTGTGGCCACATGCTCCAAGTTTCTGAAAACTGCAGGGAACCCTCGTGACAGCACTCTGGAGTGTCCTCGGCCAGGCGTCTTTTGTTCACTCGTGGGAGTTCTTTTCAACAGTCTCGAAGGAGCAAAAACTTTAAGATCATTGTTGTCTAAATTAGTTTCCCATTGGAGTTCCTTCTTTGGGTTCCTGTTTTCCCACAGGATCTTGGCAGCAGTTTTTGCCTCCACTCCTTGCTCTTCCGTCTCCTCCTGCAAACCTGCTGGAGTCTCCAACCAGCTGGGCAGAGCCCCACTCATCCCCTCAGCTGACAAGAGTGCCCTTTACCCGTTGCTGCTCATGCCAGGACAGGAAGCAGACGACTGCTAACAAAATGTTTTCACTGTGATCACTGCTACCTGTGTTGGGTGCAGGTGCCCAAGTGTCACCCAAGCCTCTCCCGTGGTGCAGGTGCTCAGGCAGTTCCCAGGCCTCCCTGTGGTCTAGGTGTCCACACACTACCCAAGCCTCTCCCGTGGTGCAGGTGCTCAGGTCACACCCAAGCCTCCTTCCTGTGAGATGCCGGTGCTCCAGGTGTTCCTGAAGCCTCCCCTCTGCTGCAGGGGCTCACGTCACACCCAGACCTCCTACAAGATACAGGTGCTCAGGTGTCACTCATGTCTCCCCCATGGTGCAGGAGCTCCAGGTGTCACTCAAGCCTCCCCTCTGGGGCAGGTGACTTAAGAGCACCTGTTATTAGAGTCCTATATTGATTATAAAACCATCTTTTAAAGGGGATTAAAATGAAGCAACAATTGTCTGTGTATGATAAGTCTTGGGGCAGCCGCAGTTAGACACAATTGACAAGGAAATTTGTTAATTTATACGATGTCTGACTTGGAGGCCAGCTGTGCAGACAGTTCCTTCAGCTGAAAGTCATCAGGGGTTGAGAATCTGTCCCAGGGCCCTTCAGCCCTCAGGGCAGTCCTGTTCCACTGGCTGAGTGTGGCGGAGGGGGCCAGCTGTGTGGAGCTTCCTCCCATTTGTCCGACTGATGCAGTCTGCCTTCCAGTGGCCTGGCTTCCCGCAGCGATGGCAGTTACCTGGGAGGGTGTTCTGAGGGCAACCTGGAGGGGCGGGAGGGCTTGTAAAACAGCCAATAGTTGAGCCTGCCTCTTGTCCCTGCGTTTCTCCTTCTCCTTAGCCCTGTCCTCCTTATTCTGCTCTCAGTTATAAACAACTGAGGAGGCTAATTTGAGGATTTTTCTGCATAGGGACACTGGGTTCTAAGGTTGACTCTTGTAATTTTCTCCCAGTTCCTTTTTATTACAAAGGAAAGTGAGTTTTTTGTTTTAAGCTTTGGAGGATCAAATTTTTCCCAGTTCTTGGGGATGCATTTAAGGGGTGTGTCCTGTGGTATAGAGATGTGATTATCCAGAGAGAACAGAGGAGGAAAAAAAAGGAAAAAGAAGGAGTCCCCTGTTATTTCCTTATTATCCTTTCCTGAACAGGGCACCCCCATTCATCCTTAGGGTTCCAGAATGAACCCATTTTACGACGTACCCTTAACCTTGGTCCCATTTTGTCACAATTACCCGCATGAGAACAAGGAAGATGCCAGAATGAACAGGGGGCCCCGTGTTCATCCTTGGGGTTGTGGAATGAACTGGTCTGTGTACCCCTCACCTTGCCTTCATCTCTGTTCTAATGGTAATCTGATAGCCTGGGAAAAACCTTCATCTCTGTCCTATGGGTCTCTTGCACCTGCGGCCTTGGGCCATCCTATATCCTCATCTCCATGACCTGATAGTGACTCTCACTTGGAGCATGCTAGCAACAAGGTGGTATCTCTTCTCGGATTCCCAGTTCCCATGTTCTTGAAGGAGATGAGGAGCTGTATTAGTCTATTTTCACACTGCTATAAAGAATGCCTGAGACTGGGTCATTTATTTAAAAAGGAGGTTTAATTGACTCACAGTTCTTCATGACTGGGGAGGCCTCAGGAAACTTACAATCATGGCAGAACGTGAAGGGGAAGCAAGGCACAGCTTGCAGGGTGGCAGGAGAGAGAGAGCAAGGGAGGAACTGCCAATCACTTTTAAACCATCAGATCTCATGAGAACTCACTCACCATCACAAGAACAGCCTGGGGAGACTGCTTCACAATCCAATCACCTCCCACCAGGTCTCGTTCTTAACATGTGGGCATTACAATTTAAGATGAGATTAAACCATATCAGAAGCCTTTTTTTTTTTTTTTGGCTAATTGCCACAGGGGGTCGGACTCCCCTCCCTTCAGATATGACCTTGAAGGTCTTGGTGCATATTGAGAAGAGCATGGAAGTGATTAGAGAAATGGAGGAAGATTTGTATTTGGGGTTCCTCGTCCTCCCGGGGTAACATGAAGAACAAATGCTTAAGCAGATGGGACAATCCCTTGGCTATGGGAGGAAGTGGGAGGAAGCAAGAGGAATATTCATGAAGGCAAAGCGTAGAGATCTCTTACCTCTAGGGAATGTATCCGAGTCACGGCACCAAAGTACGTCAGCACCAAAGTACGTCAGCAGCGGTGGATCCATCCGGGCCTGAAGTAACTCAATTCCTCCCTCCTCAAAGGAAATAACTCGTCTGAGGGGCATAAGGCAGAGTGAGGGGCTGAGGCAAGTTTTAGAGCACAAGTGAAAGTTGATTAAACAGTTTTAGAGTAGGAACAAAAGGAAGTAAAGTACACTTGGAAGAGGGTCAAGTGGGCGACTTGGAAGATTCAAGTGCACAGTTTGACTTTTGACTTGGGTTTTTATACATTGGCATGGTTCCGGGGTCTGCGTCTCTTCTCCTGTGATTCTTCCCTTGGGGTGGGCTGTCACGCGCGCCGTGGCCTGCCAGCATGTGGGAGGGGCTGCGTGCACAATGTGTGCCCTGAAATTGTACACATGCTCACTTGAGGTGCTCTTCCCTTGCCAGCTGAGCATTCCAGCGGAAGGTCACATACCAGTTAAACTTCACCACTTTGCTTCTTAATGTGCTTGAACCCACTCGCCCAACTCCTGAGGTCTTACTGGGAAGCTGCAGATCACCAGCTTCAGGTGCGGTGCTTTCTGTCTATTGGAAGACTGCCTTTTCCTGGTGTCGGCTGTGACCAACTCTTAACTAGTTTTTTTTGTTTGTTTTTTGTTTTTTCTCTCTCAACTTTTAAAGGATAGAAGTAATCCATCGGTCTTAGGAATCAAAAAATTGGTGCAACTCCAAATAAAAGTAATAAATGTATTCTCCTCTTTCATTCTAACTTCATGAATCTTATTGACTTCACCAACTGTTATTACTCAACCAGCACCTGTCGAGATAACGCCTACCCAATTCAGTAAAGACGTCCACAGTGTGCAAACTTCATTACCAGAATTACCCCAGCTCTCATGTTTATTCACTCGGGCCAAGCAACTATTATCTCACACTGACCCTGAATAACTATCCAAACCCGAAAGCTCTCACTTAGTTTTAAACGCGATTATTACCAATAGCACTTTTTGTCACATGGTGATTTACAGAGTTCTCAATGTAACATATGCACTCAGATCCTAATACCAATCAATTCTTTAAATATCTACCCATATTTCTCACCATGCTGCTAATCCTAGTCACCACCAACCATCCAGTTCAACTTGTATCAGATGGGGAGGAGTAGGTATTATATCATTTCCACCACCTGGCTGATGGAGCAGAGGCTAACGCAGCAGCCCTGCAAGCAGCTTCTACGACCTCATGGGAGAATCGGTTTCATTGCAGCATGATTTCCACTGTGCTCCAACACGGGAGAATTTCAACACATATTCATTCTCAACCCTAACGCTGATATTCTCCCACGAATTGGGCCCATGACCACCATCAGCCATGGAAGACATTCAAAAAAATGAGGGCCTATTGAAAGCCTTACCCTTGACCTCGTCCTCACACGTCACCGGCAGCCTTGCGCGCATGTGTGCACCTTTCCTCGGGGGCACCTGCTCCAAAGACCTGATCGTCAAAACCACAAACACACATATACCCACACCTGCGCCCTCCTGATTCTGCCCCTCGCCTCCTCCCTCACAGCTGCCTTCACACTCGAATGCTGTCTTCCCGCTCTTAGAGCAACCTGGCTTCACAACCTGGTTGTGTCATCAAGGAAAGTGACCCCTTCTAATCAACTCAGTTGGTGGTGCCTCTGCCGGATTCTTCACCTCCACCATCATGACTCCCATCTCTCTGCCCCACATAACCACACCCTCAGACCCACAATTCACAGCTCTTGCTGTGGCTTCTCAGCATTTACGGTGGCAATAGAATGCAACTTCATCATACGTCATCTCAGATTTGAACCCCGCTTACACCCACATAAATTTCCAACCTATTAGAATATTTCCCAATTCCAATTCACCTGGCCCGACACCACACTTGAATCTAACTGCCGGTCTAAACACAGCATCCCTCCAGCTAGACCTGATCTGAATAGAACAACAATACCAACAAATGCAACGCAGCTCCAAACACTAACCTCAACAACTGTATCCAACCAAAAAGGCCTAATCAAACTTTACTTTCTCTCTTTCCTCACCCCACTTTCCTAGCCACACTCCTAATCAATACCCTTGAGTAACTTCAGTTACAATAAAAATCCTAACAAATAAAGATCAACCAGCCACCACCATCAACCAACTACCATAACTGTATACCTGTATAGCTATACCTACAGTCTTCACCAAGAAGTCCTACTTCTTCATCCTCAAAAATCAGTTTCCTAGTTTTTTGTTTTTGATTTTTTTTGTTTGTTTGTTTTTTGAGACAGAGTTTCGCTCTTATTGCCCAGGCTGGAGTGCAATGGCGTGATCTCGGCTCACCATAACCTCCACCTCCCGGGTTCAAGCGATTCTCCTGCCTCAGCCTCCTGAGTAGCTGGGATTACAGGCATGAGCCACTACGCCCGGCTAATTTTGTATTTTTAGTAGAGACAGGGTTTCTCCATGTTGGTCAGGCTGCTCTTGAACTCCCAAGCTCAGGTGATCCACCCGCCTCAGCCTCCCAAAGTGCTGGGATTACAGGCATGAGCCACCGCATTTGGCCTGTTCTCCTAGTTTTTAAAATCAATCTCTACCTTATCATGCCCTGCTGTTCATGCAATTATAACTAACTCTAGCAACAGCCCCATCAATTAAAGCCCTCAAATAACAACATTAGACCCCAAGCCTCAGGATAACCCTCAGTAGCTGTTGCCGCGGTACATCCAAACATCACTATCATTCCCCCAAATAAATTAAAAATACTCCTAATCCTATAAATGCACCACTGACCTTTAATACAATACCACAACCCACCCTTCCACTAATAATTAACCCAAACCCCCCAAAACTGGCAAAGGTTTTGAAGAGAAACCCACAAAACCTACAACAAACATTGTACTTAATAAAAATATGTTGTATGTCATAATTCTCACATGGCATTTAACCATGACTAATGATGCAAAAAATCATCATTGTATTTCAACTGTAAGAAGTCTATGGCTGGGCCAGGCACAGTGGCTCATGACAATAATCCCAACACTTTGGGAGGCCAAGGCGGGTAGATCATTTGAGCCCAGGAGTTGACGACCAGCCTGGGAAACACAGTGAGACCCCATCACTACAAAATTTTTTTTTGATTAGCTGGGCATGGTGGTGCATGCCTGTGGTCCCAGCTACTCGGGAGGCTGAGGTGGGAGGATCACTTGAGCCTGGAAAGTCGAGGCTGCAATGAACTGTCATCGTGTCATTACACTCCAGCAACAGATATACACTCCATCTCCAAAAGCAAAAAACAAAAAACAAGAAATCTAGTGGTCGACATTTGAAAAACCCACCACCTAATAAAAATTATCAACCACTTCTTCACTGACTTCCCAGTGCCATCAACTATCTCTGCATGATGGAATTTCGGCTCACTTTTAGGGGTCTGCCGAGCCCTAGAAATCATTACAGGACTTTTTCTAGCTATACATTATACACCAGATACAGTAACTGCATTTTCCTCTGTTGCACATATCTGCTGAGATGTAAATTATGGCTGAGTTATCTGACATTGACATCAATATTCTCATCTGCCTATTTATATATGTAGGAAGAGGCTTATCCCAGGGGTCCTACACTTTTCTGGAAACCGGAAACATTGACATCATTTCTGCTATTGGCAGTGATAGCAACAGCATGTATAGGCTACGCCCTACCATGAAGACAAATGTCTTTTTGAGGAGTGACATGTTTTGGATTTGTGTCCCCACCCAAATCTCATGTCGAATTGGAGGAGGGGCCTGGTGAGAGGCGACTGAATCATAGGGGCGAATTTCCTCCTTGCTGTTCTCATGATAGTGTCGACAAAAAGAGTCAGACTCTGTAAAATATTTGAAGAGATTTGTTCTGAGCCAAATATGAGTGACCATGGCCTGTGACACAGCCTTCAGGAGGTCCTGAGAACATGTACCCAAGGTGGTCGGGGTACAGCTTGGATTTGTAGATTTTAGGGAGGCATGAGACATCAGCCAAATACATTTAAGAAATATACTGGTTTGGTCCAGAAAGGTGGGACAACTCAAAGTGGGGACTTCCAGGCTTTTGGTGAATCTAAACATTTTCTGGTTAACAATTGGTTGAGTTTGTCTAAAGACCTGGGATCATAGAAAGGAAATGTTAGTTAAGATAAAAGATTGTGGAGACCAAGTTTCTTTGGAAGTCTCATAGTGGCTGCCCTTAGAGACAATAGATGACAATGTTTCCTATTTAAATCTTTAAAAGGTGCTAGACTTTTAATCTCTTCAGGATTGGGAGGACTTGGAAGAAAAAGATCTAGCTATGTTAATACAGATTCTTTAGAGATGCAAATTTTCCCCCACAAAGGACAGCTTTGCAGAGCAAAGATATGTCAAAGAAACATGTTTTGGGGTAAATTATTTTGACTTTCTTCTTTGTCACATAATGTCATGCCAGAGTCAGACTGGAAAGTAAGTCACAACATGTAGGGTTAAATAAAACCATCTCATGAGAATTTATGGTTTGTAGGACATGACCATCCAGATAGGATTTAGGATCATCTAGATAGGAATTTGGGCAAGATAAAAAAAAAAAAAAAAAAAAAATGAGAGCTTAGTCCTCAGTAGTGAGCAAGTTCCCATGAGATTTGATGGTTTAAAAGCGTGTGGCGCTTCTTCCCTTGTCTCTCTTTCTCCTGCTCCGTCACGTGAATAAGGTGCCTGAATCCCCTTAGCCTTCCTCCATGGTTGTAAGTTTCCTGAGGCCTCACAGCCATGCTTCCTATACAGCCTACAGAACTGTGAGTCAATGAAACCTCTTTTCTTCGTCCATTACCCAGTCTCAGGTAGTTCCTTACAGCAGTGTGAGAACAGACTCATACAAGGAGCGCTCACACACAGTGATCACAACCCTGTGATCAGCTATTCCATGCACTGGCACCTATCTAGTGGAGTCAGGTGGAGACAGATCTTCAGTTGACAAAGCCACCCTGACACGATTCTTCACTTTTCACTTCACTTTACCCTTCACGTCGCTGCCTTGGTAGCTGTCCACCTTCTCTCCCTTCAGGTAACGGGATCCAACAACCCATCAGGAATTTCATCAGATGTGGCACAATCCCATTTCACCCATACTACACAATTAAAAACATTTTAGGGCTGGGCGAGGTGGCTCATGCCTGTAATCCCCAGCACTTTGGGAGGCCGAGGCAGGCGGATCACAAGGTCAGGAGATCGAGACCATCCTGGCTAACACGGTGAAACTCCATCTCTACTATAAATACAAAAAATTAGCCGGGCGTGGTGGCGGGTGCCTGTAGTCCCAGCTACTCGGGAGGCTGAGGCAGGAGAATGGCGTGAACCCGGGAGGCGGAGCTTGCAGTGAGCCAAGATCGCGCCACTGCACTCCAGCCTGGGCGACAGAGCGAGACTCCGTCTCAGAAAAAAAAAATACAAAAACATTTTAGGCTTGGTTCTCCTCCCATGATGATTACCTGTTGCAGTCTTGTTTTAACCTGACCTACTAGGAGACCTAGATAATTATAGCCCAGCAAATCCCCTAACGCACCACCTCACATCAAACCAGAATGACACATCAACCCTATGCTCCATTCCCAATACCTCAGGAGGAATTCTGGCCCCTGTCTTCTCTGTTCTCATCCTGGCCATTGTCCCAATACTTCACCTGTCTAAACAATGGAGCATCCATAATATCCCACCATTCAGCTAATGTCCATTTGAATTCTAGGAGCAGAGCTTCTCACACATACGTGGCTCGGGGGTCAGCCCATTGAACAGCCTTTCATTATGGTTGGTCAAGAAGCATCCACTATGTATTTCCCTCTCATTCTCCTTTTAATACCACTCACTAGCTGAATCGAAGACAAGCTACTGAAAGGAAGAAGTCCTTGTGGTATATTTATGTGACTCTGGTCTTGTAAACCAAAAATGGAGAGCACTCCTCCCTAGGCCAATTCGAGGAAGAAGCTATCTGCTCCACCACTGGTACCCAAAGCGTGATTCTACTTTACCCCCTGACATTCATACTTGAGGTGCAATTAATTAATATTAACTGCCATGTCAGTATTGGAAAAACTCCTATAAATTATTACGATAACCATGAACATTGTGCTTGCCACTTTTAATGATGTGCTATGTGTTTCATCACACATTGTACGTTTGTGTATTATTGTACATTAAGTTGTGCCCCGCATGAATATTAAGCAAGAAGATGAACTGTTGTGACAACCTGTCATACGTCAACCAGGCCAAAATCCACAAACCCAGTTCTCAAGTATGTGAGTATCACCCAGTACAGATAATCCTTAACATTACATAGGACATGTAATTATAGATCACACATAGCACATGTAAGCCAGATCATTTCCCAACAACATGCTTATCACCTCCAAATAAACTTAACTACCAAGCGTCTAGAAATTAGCTACCATTTGGGAAGTATCCTCCTCCTTAGTCTAGGCGCATAAAACTTGGGTCTTTTCGCCATCTGCAAAGTTCACCGCACTGTCCCCTTCCCCGCATCATACGGGAAGAGGACCTGGTTAAAACTGTCCACATGCCCTAGAAATAAACAAAATCAGACTGCAGGACACAAAGACTTAGACAAACCTTCAAACTGATGTCCTAGCATTGTAAAATGTCCCACGTTAATATGGAGTTTCTATGCAATTCCAATCAAAATCCCAATGCAACCCCTCCCCTCCCCTCCCCTCCCCTTCCCTTCTCTTCTCTTCTTTTCTTTTGAGATGGAGTTTCGCTCTGCCGCCCAGGCCGGAGTGCAATGATCTTGGCTCGCTGCAACCTCCGCCTCCCAGGTTCAAGTGACTCCTGACCTTAGGTGATCCACCCGCCTCAGCCTCCTAAAGTGCTGGGATTATAGGCGTGAGCCACTGTGCCCAGCCCAGATCTAGTTACTTATATTTTAAAATATATAAAACTATATATTTCACAAACATGTCACACTGGACAGGCATCTTCCATTTTCACTTACTTCCATTGTTTTACCTTAAGAATGTTTTTCCCTAAAATGAAAAAAAAAAAAAAAAGCCAGTTCTATTCTAGAATCTTTTTATTTCCAACATTTGTAACTTTAACCTTTCCAAAAGTTATGCCAATTGTAGGTTGATTTGTTTACTGAGCATTTTCGTGTAATTTAATACCTGGAAGCCAAGTATTCCTTCCTAAGTAGTTTTACCTAGTAATTCTTGGAGATTCTCTTGTGACTCATGTCATTTATTAAAAAGGGCTGCATTGGCAGCGCGTGGTGGCTCACGCCTGTAATCCCAGCACTTTGGGAGGCCGAGGCAGGAGAATCACTTGAACTCAGGAGGCAGAGGTTGCAGTGAGCTGACCATTGCAATCCAGCCTGGGCAACAGAGTGAGACACCATCTCAAAAATAAATAAATAAATAAATAAATAAATAAATAAATAAATAAATCTGAAATACCAGCACAAATGCTGAAGCTACGGCACACCAAGGGCTGGGTTCACTCCAGTGGCTACACCCAGGCATGAAAGAGACCCAACTGGTGAAAAACAGGCTTAAATCCTAAGTGATACCCACGAGGTACCAAGGGAATGCAACAGCAGCAGCCGAGCCCTGAGTCCGGGGCTAGACTCTGGACAGAAGTGTCCCTTCCCAGTCCTTGTCCCTGGGCTGCTAAACACCTGAAGACTGATGAGGCATCCGCTTTCTGGTGATGCTGATTCGAATGACTTGCTCAGGAACCCTCTGTCTTCACGGCCCAATCATCGTGATTTCCACAGGCTCTGGGTCCACGTGACTTCTCGGCTGAGGCCCAGGGCAAGGATCGGAGGTTGGCGTTTCCACCCGGAGCCTTGGATCTCGTCACCCCTGCCAGTGGCTACAGGGACATCAGAGGCACCCGGAGCCTGCGGAGACCTGGGTCCCGCTGACCGGGAGCAGAGCTGCTCTCGGGCAGCACCCTGAGCCCGTCACCTGCGCCCGCCTACTCGCCTTGGCTGGGGCTCAGAAGTGCAAGCTGTGCCCAGGAGGGTCGAGAGGGCAGCTTCCCCAGCATGCTGCCAAGCTGAGTGTGAGGACAGGAGACAGGGCGCCCATCCCAGGAGGCTACCTCCAGGTCACCTGGCCGGTCCCAGGAGGCTACCTCCAGCTCACCTGGCCCATCCCAGGAGGCTACCTCCAGCGCACCTGTGTGCACGGAGGGGGCTCCCTGGTGCAGCCTGGGTAGGGGTCACATCGGGAGCTGTTCTGGGGCCCACCTGGCACCCAGACCCTTTGAAGCCGCGAGCCCCTGGGGTAAGCGCAGAGCGAGGTGACCACTGCCCACAGAGGCCTGTAGGGTCCACCACTGATCGCCTAAAATCTGAACGTGTATGCAGCCGGGGAGGCAGGCAATGGAGGGAGGCGGCAGACCAGGGCGTCAAGGCTGGTCCACTTTTGTCTCGGGCCGGCTGGCACCTGGAGCTGAGCACCTTGACACAGCGAGACCTCCCCCTGGACGTCTCTCCATCTCCTGCCTGGTCTGCGCGCTGCACCTGCCACAGTTACAACTTGGGCAAATGTGCAGTCACCGCGTCGTTAGGTGAATGACACTCACTCTTCTTCTCGGGGGTTCTCACGCCTTGACTCTCTGGCGTCATCGCCCTGGCTGCTGAGTCCTCGCAGGTGGCCACTGGCCACCCTCCCTGTCTGCATCCCCACTCCGGCTCTCACAGCTGGTATCACCTAGGGTGAGTCATCAGCTGTACCTCAGTCTCCCCATCCAAAGGGCTTGCTGGGATCCGTGTCCTGACCTGGCTGTACTGGGGAACGGGTGGCTGTTCTCCATCTTGTCCCAGGCCATTGCCCCCTCTCCTGCATTTGTGGCCCTTCCTCCAACGCCCCCTCCTCTCCGTGACAGCAAGGCTCTGGGGAAGGTCAGCCTGGGTGGGCCTGTCTCCACAGCTCCCTGTACCTGAACTCAGGGGGTTGTGAGTCCACCCTGCTGACCTCCAGCTGGGCCCCAAAACTGCAGGTGGCCGGCATCATCCAGCGGCACCTGAGCGTCCACTCCATCTCCAGCCAGCATCGTTGCCATGGCTACGGGTGCAGAGCCCAGTGCACAGGGCTCCCAGCATAGGCAGCCCCGCTCCTAGCCAGCGTGGCCCTGGGCACTGCTCACCGTGGCACTGGCCACTCTCCCTTCTGGGGCTCCATCAAGGACTTGCCGATTTGTTTTGACAACTGCCATGGCCCAGGTTGCCGAGAGAGGGTCTCCAGGGCTGGGTGTCAGAGACCCCGACTCCAGCCCAGCTGTGCCCCAAACAAGCCCTGTCCTGAGTGCGTCCTTTCTCCCCTCTGGACCTCAGTCTCAAGTTTCTCATCTGAAAATAGAAATACGACCAGCAAACCAGGCCCATGTGAGGATGACCTGAGGCCCCCTCTCTAGCAACCTTGGCCACGTGAGGCCATGGCTGCTGTCCCCTCCCAGGCAGGCAGCCCTCCCTGAGCCCTGTCACGAGGCTGCAGGATTTTGCTGTCACTGAACTCTCATCGGTCAGTCTCATCGGTCCCCAGCTCAGGTGTGTAAGACAATGTGTGTGAGCGTGTGTGCTGGTGTGTGTGTGCAGTGAGATCAAGTGTGTGTGTGTACAGGGAGAGTGAGCGTGTGTGTGTGTGTACAGGAAGAGTGAGCGTGTGTGTGTACAGGGAGAGTGAGCGTGTGTGTGTGTACAGGGAGAGTGTGTGTGTGTTACAGGGAGAGTGAGCATGTGTGTGTGTGTACAGGGAGAGTGTGTGTGTACAGGGAGAATGTGTGTGTACAGGGAGAGTGAGCGTGTGTGTGTGTGTACAGGGAGTGTGTGCACAAGGAGAGTGAGCATGCACGTGTGTGTACAGGGAGAGTGAGCATGTGTGTGTGTGTACAGGGAGAGTGTGTGTGTACAGGGAGAATGTGTGTGTACAGGGAGAGTGAGCATGTGTGTGTGTGTACAGGGAGAGTGTGTGTGTGTACAGGGAGAGTGAGCATGTGTGTGTGTGTACAGGGAGAGTGTGTGTGTACAGGGAGAATGTGTGTGTACAGGGAGAGTGAGCGTGTGTGTGTGTACAGGGAGTGTGTGTACAGGGAGTGTGTGTACAAGGAGAGTGAGCATGCGCGTGTGTGTACAGAGAGAGTGAGCATGTGTGTGTGTGTACAGGGAGAGTGTGTGTGTACAGGGAGAATGTGTGTGTACAGGGAGAGTGAGCATGTGTGTGTGTGTACAGGGAGAGTGTGTGTGTACAGGGAGAGTGAGCATGTGTGTGTGTGTACAGGGAGAGTGTGTGTGTACAGGGAGAATGTGTGTGTACAGGGAGAGTGAGCGTGTGTGTGTGTGTGTACAGGGAGAGTAAGCATGTGTGTGTGTGTGTACAGGGAGAGTGAGAGTGTGTGTGTGTGCCTGTGTGTGCGCCCGAGTGTGTGTGAGGATCCAGGTGGCCAGCAGCATTGAGCCACCCCACACCACAGCCCCTGTCCCATCTGGGAGGGACACTCCTGTCCTGCAGGGAAGCAGGAGAGGCTGACAGAGGCAATGTGAGCTCCCTGTGGTCACTAGGCCATGGCATTAAAGACACACTCACCCCCAGAACTGAGCCCTGGGGACGGTGCCCAGGGTGCCCAGAGCACGAGGGCCATCGGCTCTGCCCACGTGGGCAGCTCTCACTGTGGGGAGGTGGCTGGTGTCCTGTGGCTGCTGAAACAAATTGCCAAAAACTTGGGGTTTGACCGACGCCATCTATTTTAGAATTCTGGAGGTCAGAGGTTGGACACGGGTCTCACGGGGCTACAATCAAGGTACTGCCAGGGCTGGTTCCCTCTGGAGGCTCCAGGAGAGAACCTGTTTCCTGCCTTTCCCATGCGTGGCTCAGGGTGCCCCCCTCCACCTCCAAGGCAGCCGCACAGCACCCCGACCCCCTGTGCTCACAGCTCCCGCCCCCCACTTACTAGGACCCTGTGAGGACATCGCCCATCTCTGGGTCCTGGATTTAATCCCACCTGCAAAGTCCCTTCTGCCACATAAAGTAACATCTTCACAGGCTGCCAGGATGAGGATAGGGACATCTCTGGGGGCTGCGATTCTGCCCACCACGGGGATGGCCTTGAAGAGGGAGGTGAAATGAAGGCGGAACCCTCTGCCTCTGGGGTGCTTGGAGCCGAGGTGAGGTGGAGATGCCACCGAGGGCCAGGCGAGGGTGGGAGGATGGCACCTTAGCCCTGGGCCACAGGAAGCATCCATGGGAGCCCACGGGCTGTTTGACCTTTCGAGGAGACAGACCAGGCAGGCCTGAGAGGCAGGGCTGGCTCACGGCGAGCACCTGTCAAGTCCAGGCTGTGGATGCCTCTCCTCCCCAAAGAAATCAGGGCTCCCCAGGGCCAGGGCAGGAGGGGACAAGACAAGGACCCCTTGTCCCACCCAAGAGCCACGAAGCTGCAAGGACAACGAGGGCTGGTCATAAAGACAGAGCAGATGCGGAGGTGCCTCTGGTCACAGACAGGATGCTGTGGCTGCATTAGGGAAAGTAAGGCCACCAAATGTGTTTAGAGCCACGCAAAATGATGCTTACAACATGACTGTCACTGTTAGAGGAGGCAGCTCTTCACCCTGCACTCGGTGAATCAAGGAGCGTGGCCAGTGACCCTCCCGCCGTCCCGCAGGAACCAGGCACAGGGAAGGAGGCACCGATGCGCTTCCTGGAAGATTCTAGCTAACAAGTGAAGAGGGCTCATGGCCCAGCGGATCCTGCTCAATCACCCTGCGAATGAACAGCAGCTACAAACGTCCCCGGGAGGCAACGGAAGACACACAGCTGACGGGAGAGCGTGGCCAGCAAGCCCTGCGGGAAATCCAGCGAGCCCACGCATTCACAGAGGCGCGTGGGGGCGCCGCGGAATCCAGGCAGGGTGTCCCCGGGCCGGCAGCCAGGCTGCTTCAGCAGAACCACCGCGAGGGGAGCCGACAGCAGACAAACGGGGCCCATAAGCTAATAGACCTAAGAGGCCTTGGCCAGCGGCCTCGGCGGAGCGCTGGGGAGACTCTGATTCCAGCAAGCCCGGAAAATACGATGAGACCGTCAGGGAGATGTGAGCACCGAGCGAGGAAGACTCAGGAACTGCTGGAATGTCATTTTCAGGTGGATGGTGGTTTTGCGGTTATATATTTAAGACAAAAAAGAGGCCCTATGTGTGAACAGCTCCTGCTGATATTTACAGATAGGTTTTGTTTTGTTTTGTTTTTGTTTTTGAGGTCTGGGATTTGCTTTTACTCATTTGGAGGGAGAACGTAGGCGGGTGTGAGGATGGGAAGCCAGGTAGAGCAGGCTTGCATCACGGCAGGAGGAGGCGAATGGAGCCCGGTACAGCACTCTCCATTTATTTATTCCTGTGTGTGTGAAACTCGCTATGATTGGATGTTACGATTTACACATTGATCGTGGGGACTAGGACACACTAGTGCATCCAATGGAATATCAATGAACAGCTGCCACACTCAACGGAGGTCTCATATACGACATTTCTTGAAAGAAGGTAAAACTACAGAAAACAGTGTCCTGCTTGGATAAAACCGCTCCCTTCCCACAGAGAGACACCACCGGGTGCTGAAAGGGGCGCTGGTTCCCCACACTCCAAGGTGAGCAGCCTGGCTTCTGCAGCGAGGCCCTTCCCTAGGGGCGGGACCTGAGATCTGCACGGCTGTCCCATCCCTCTGCTTGGGAAAGGGCAGGGCCTGGTGGTGCTGCAGGGGGGCTCCGTGACAGGTGGGAGTCGCTGCAGGCAGAAGGCGAGGTCTCCCCTCCCCACCCCAGGAGCTGAGGGGCAGGGCAGGCTTGGAAAGAGGGTGGGCCGGCAGGGGCCAGCAAGTGGAGGCAGCCAGGCTGTCCCGAGGAGACAGGGGGGCGGGCAGGGTGGCCGGGAGCACCAGGTGGTCAGGAGGACAGCAGGGACAGGCCAGCACCTGTGACTGTAGGACAGGCCAGGGCCTGGACAGGGCCAGGGCTGTCGGGGGCCACCAGGCACCAGTGGGAGGTGGATCTAGTGAGTCACGGCCCTGGAGAAGCAAATCACATCCTGACCTGACCTGGGGTGTAGAGGTCACACGGAGAATGCGTCCCCTGGCAGGAGCACCACACCCTGCTATTGACCAAGAGCCTGCACGATGGTGGTCTCTGGAGACCCTCGCCCCAGCCTGGGAGGCAGCCACACAACAAGGCCCCCCGCAGTGTGGGCTGGAAGACACTGACAGCCTGCGGCGGCAGGAGCGAGGGTACCCAGCATGTTGACATTTGCCAGTTTCCTTGATGTAGAGACTGCTGCCAAGGTCACGTTCAGGCTACCATCATGTCACCTGGTGCAAAAATGCCTGAAACCTTAACAGTTGGCTGTCAGGAGCTACATTTAACCATCCGCGCTGTCATGAGCCTGCTGGGAGCCTGCACAAGCCGGCTCTGCACCCTCTGCGGGGCTCACGCAGGTTCAGCTCCTGCAGCCCTTCCGGGGCCACAGCTGTGGATCCACAGGTCCCTCAGCTCCATGGCACTGCAAGGTCTGGGGGAGGGGGAGGCTCGGGGTTTGGGCCGCAGAGTTGCCGACGACAGAATCCACACTTGCTGACTGAAGCACGAAGAGCTTTACTGAGGGCTCACAGAAGGGCCGAGAGACAACAGAAACAGACACCGGCACAGGCTGGGCCAGCAGCATGGCCCGCTCACACCTGCCTCTCCAGGTTACACAGTTCAGGATCCAAGTCCTGTGCAAATGCATCTGACTGGCGAACAGAAATCCCATCAAGAACAGCTGCAGGGAGACTGGGGTCACGGTTTTCAGCTCCTGGCCACTGCGGTCCAGGAAGGCCAGCCAGACCAGGCCTAAGCCAATCCCCCACATCCTCCATGAGGGGACCTGCCAAGAGCGTCCAGGACTCCGCGCCGCCCTCCGTGCTATGTGCTGTGGGGCCAGCTGCCTCCCAGCCATGGACCACACCTGCTCAGAGTTCCTTAGAAGCCGGGCTCCTTGCCTTGCTGCCTTGGCTCTGGTGACCTCTGCATTTTGCAGACACCCGGGAGGAGCTGCCCAAGACGGCAGCCCCACTCCAGACCCTGTCTGATGGGCCGTGCACGTCTGCACATTCCACAGAATGTGACCAGCTGTGGAGCTCAATACAAAATGGCCCTCTGCTGGCCGGGCCCTGACTTCAGCCTGGACACTCGTCCCCATGTCCTGCCCAGATGATCACTGGGCAGAGCCGGAGATTCCTGGCTGCTTTGGTTATGAAACACATGTCCAGGTTTAGCCCAACCTCATATGCAGTTTACACTCTCATCTACCCTCCCTGTAGGCAAGGCTGGGGGCCCCAGGCTCTGTGGCGGGAGGTGGTCCCCGGTTCCCCTCCTGCCAGCAGCCCCTGCAGAGGAGGCCGGGGGTCTCTCAGGGCCAGATTCCACTTCCCCAGGGCCCTTCATGAGAGGAGCCTCCTCACTCACCCACAGCTGCCAGCACAACCCACTCCCCACTGCCTGTCACGCAACCCCCGGCAGGCCCACGCCCCGCACCCATAGCCTCCAGCCAGCTCCTGTGGGGCCTGCGCCGTGAGTGGGCCTGGGAGTCTCCCTGGCCTCAGTGGCCTTCCTGCCCCAGGGGGCCCCACCCCACCAGGGATGGTCCTGTGGATCAGGATGGCTCTGCTGGTGGCTATACCAGCTCTGGGCCCATCCCCCACTGCTGGACCCCACCCCGCACAAGGAAGCCTCTGGGCAGGCATCTGGGGCTCCAAAGCCCAACAGGAAACCAGCAGGGAGAGGGCCCGGCCTGGGCTCCTCTCCTAGGGTTAGGAGTTAGCTTTAGAGTTGGAGTTAGGGCTGGGTTGGGTTAGGTTAAGGGTTAGTATCAGGGTTAGGGTGAGGATTGGGTCAGGGGTTAGCATCAGGGTTAGGGTGAGAGTTGAGTCAGGGGTTAGCATCAGGGTTAGGATTGGGTCGGGTCAGGGGTTAGCATTAGGGTTAGGGCGAGGATTGGGTTAGGGTGGGGGATGGTTTAGGGGTTAGCATTAGAGTTAGGGTTGGGTTGGGGTTCAGGCTCTGCCTCCCATGATGCCCAGGTAGGTTCCCGGGGTGAAAGTGGTGAATGGGCGGCATCAGGAAGCTAAGCCCTGCCCATCCAGTCTGGCTGGAAGATTCTGGCTCCCCGGTGGCCCAGGAGTCACAGAATACCCCCAATTTCCTATCCCCTCCCCCTGCCTTGTCTCGCAAGGCCGAGACCTCCACCATGTCCACACTGTGAACTGAGACATTCCCTTTGTCCCCGCCTCACCGCTATCAACACTGGTGGCCTGGCTGGTGTGGGGCTGAGCCCACGGCCTCTGCAGATGTGGGAAACTCTTGCAATCAGTGCAGCATGGAGGCAGAGGGGCTGATTTGGCCTGGGCATCCCAACGGGCAGCAGGTCCCAGGGTGCACATGCTCACATCTGGGCTGCAAAGAACTGAGTCACAGGGAGAGGCGGGGTGCTCTGGGGCAGGCAGCGATGTCATCTCAGGGGTGCTCCGCCACCCCTCCTTCCGCAAGTGTCCATCATGGGCTCCAGGCCCCGCCAGTAAAGAGGTCACAAGATGGGAGAGGAGGGGACGGCAGAGAAAGGAAGTGGAGGGAAGGGCAAGGGAGGGGAGGACATTAGAGGGCAGGAAGGGGAGGGCTGTACCCCGGGAGCGCTGAGGACTTGCAAGCACCCACGGTGGGAGCTCCAGTGAGCATGAAGGAGCTTTGGGGTCCCACAGTGTTGGGGTCTCTATGGTCTTCCTTAGAGGGGAGGTGCTTTCACCTATGTTGGTGGGGCAGGGGGCACAGTAAGGCCAGGACGGTGGGCAGCTCATGGACCTGACTGAGCTCACAGTGCAGGGGACAGGGCCTCCGGTGTCCTCCTGGTCCTCTCCCCATCTCCTCCTCCCAGCAGGAGGTGGACAGGGGCCCAGCAGACCTTCACCAAGGAGAAGGCCAGACCCTGGGCTGAGGCAGCCCAGCAAATTGGGGCAGGGAGGGACGGGCCTGCCCCTGCCCTGTGCACCTCCTGAAGGGCCACGTCTGGGTGATGTCCAGTGTCTGGGCTGATTCTAGGGTAAGGACAAATGAAGAGTCCCCTGGCAGCAGGGAAAGGGCACCCCAAAATGCGAGATGGGACTGGCTGGCACCCACAGGACACAGGGCTGAGGAGAGGCCCTGCCTTCACCACCCAGGCCTCAGTTCACACTCTCCTTGGGACCTGGGGTCATGCGTGCTGGGCAAACCCACCACAGGCACCCTGGCATGGAGAAGGGGTGGCAGGAGGACGCCAATCACCATGTGACCCTAGGCCTGCTGGCCAGGCCAGCAACAGTTCACCTGCCCTACCTGCATCTATCAGACAGCCAGGGATGGCACCAGTCATTCACCTATACATCCTTATCCTATGCTTTCAGCCACGTGTCCTCTGGAAGGAAATCCCCACGGGCCCAGGGCACTCTGCTGTGTCAGCGCCCACTTCCTCCAAACAGTGGAGCTGGACACCCCGCCACATGCTGGCCCTGCCTGGACCACAAGGACCACGTGGCCCCACACCAGCACGGGTGCACCCCCGGGGGCTGGCACTTGGTTCTAGCTCTCACTGGAAGGGTGAGTGGCGCTGCCAGTTTCCGTGGAGGTCTCTGTCCTCCGAGCATGGCGACACTCAGGCAGCGTGGCGTGAGGGAAGCAGGCGGAGCCTGGGGCTGCCTCCACTCATACACTGGGCCTGGCCCCTCACCCACCCCGCGTCTGCACTGTGGGCAGAGCAAAGCCTACCAAGCACCTCACAACACAGACACCCCCGTGACTCACACTGCACACACGGGGTACCTCAGAACCAGTGCACACACCCTGGACAGGCTCTCACCTTCCAAGTCACCTGATACTTTCCAAAGAGAAACCACCCTCAACTTCCATTCATTTTTAAGCATCTGTTTGGCGAAGCATCTCTACATACCTACACTTCAGTCCACACACAATGTACACTGATCACTCATTTACACCCCCCCCAAAAATACTCAAAGTACTTTAAAATATAAACACTCATAAAAAGGACAATAAAAAATAAAATTAGGAATTACTATCATATAGGTGGAGGTAACATCTAACCTGAATGTGAAGTAAGGTTAGTAAATTGAGCACTAAATTATCTCTGAGATTCCTGGCAGCAAAGGTGAAAAGAGAGAGTTCCTGTTGCTGGAGAAAACGAAGCATCCCATTGATTGGCCTTGAAACATCAATCCCCAGTACTCCGGGCCTTGGAAAAAGAGCTGTTTTATATCTTAGTGAGTAGAAAAAGCAAGGCACAGGGCCGGGCGCGGTGGCTGACGCCTGTAATCCCAGCACTTTGGGAGGCTGAGGCGGGCGGATCACTTGAGGCCAACAGTTCGAGACCAGCCTGGCCAACATGGTGAAACCCGGTCTCTACTAAAAATACAAAAATTAGCCAGGCGTGGTGGCTCATGCCTGTAATTCCAGCTACTAGGGAGGCTGAGGCAGCAGAAGTGATTGAGCCTGGGAGGCAAAGGTTGCAGTGAGCTGAGATCGCCCTGGGGCAGGGCCTCCCGCATCAGGCACACCCAGAGGGGCAGGAAGCAGGCGGGCCCCCAGGTATGTGGCTGCTGTCTTCCCCTGGGCAAGCTACCCTGGACTTTTCCCAGGTCTCTCTCCATATTGTTCACCCCATTACTGAACTGAAATTTTGGCACTACGGTTACTCAAAACAAACATTTGAGAATAAAAAAGGGTAGGACAGTTTGTTTGAGCTACACATCCCACTTAGCTCTCTAGAAAAACCTGGTCTCTGTTACTTTGCTCTGGAAACAGGGCTTACGTTCCAATGTACTTCGAACACTGGAACAAGGCTCATGTTTACCTACAATGCACTTTGTAAGTAAACAAGGGCAAGTCAGCTCCTCAGCACAGGACTTATCAGCGCCTTCAGCGGGTGAACCTGCACCCAAGCTCCCTCTGGTGAACCCTCTCGCTTGCAGAGCACCCCCTTAGTCCTCTGAGTGCATATCCACAGCCTGCAGGGCCCCGTGTGGGAGAGGCTGGCATGGTGGAAGGAGGCGGAATGTCACGATGGACAGCCCGGGTTGAAGTTCCACTGGGATAATTTCCTGATGGTATCGTCACGGGCAGTCATTCCGTTCCTCTAAGCTTCAGGTTCCTCATCCGTCACACGGATGTGTGGCAAAACCACCCAGCCTGGAGGTGCTGCTGTGCCTGAGTGCAACAGTGGGGAGCACACATGGCTGTGACACCTGCCTCAGGGAAGAGCAAAAGCAGCATCAGTCACCACCTACTACAAAAGTGACAGCAGCCACCGGCGGGGGTCTGCCGGAACAGGCGCTAGGGCCCCGGGCCGATGGGGTCCTTGGAGGCGGGGGCGCTGGGCAGAGACTTCAGGTACTCCAGGTGCCTCCGGGCATCCTCCTGGTTGTGGCGCACATAGTACACGACGTAGGCGATCACCATGGCGAACCAGCCGAACATGGTGACCAGCATGGCCACGTCTGTGGTCCTGTGGGGGACGCTGCAGAGGCTGGCACCCGCATCCAGAGCCTGAACCAGAGGCTTCCCCACAAACTCCTCCTGCACTGAGGTGTGGCAGGCGATCTCGTCCACAGAGTCGGGGTCCAGCTTCAGCTCCCACAGGGCCTCCTGCAGGGCGCACTCGCAGTGCAGGGGGTTGTGGGACAGGCGTATCTTGGCGCTGAGTTTGCCCAGGGCGTCCTTGGGGATCCTCTGGATGCGGTTGTAAGACAGGTCCAGCAGCCGCAGGCCCCCGGCCAGGCCCGCGAAGGTGGCGGAGCCGATGGCCTCGATGGCGTTGTGAGACAGATCCAGCTCCCTGAGCCGGTGCAGGTGCTGGAAGGCCCCGTCCGGGAGGTGGGAGATCTTGTTGGCATCGAGCTTCAGGAGCACGGTGTTGGCCGGGATGTCCTCGGGGACCTCCTGAAGGCCCCGCAAGCTGCAGAAGACAGCCACAGCCCCTGCGTGGTCAGGGCACCGGCAGGGCTGTGGGCAGGCGGCGCCCAGGTGCAGGCAGAAGAGGAGGAAGAGACAAGACTCCCGGGTGGAGACCAGCAGGAGCGAGGGGCGAGGTGGGCGCACGGTGCCCATCCTGACCTGACCTGGGGACGGGGACACGCGAGCCTCTGCTAGGGCCTGGGGATGGAGCTGGTTTCCGCAGGCAAGGCCTTATCCAACCAGACATGAAACCGCCATCCTGCCCCGCTGGGAGAAGCAGTGCAGTCCACTCTGGCAGCTCTGAAAGGGAAGACGCAGGAGGGAGCGGAGAGGGAGGGAGGGTGGTCAGCACTGCCGGCTGCGGTCACCTGGGAAACGCGTCCACTGGTGGGGAGGGTGTTGAGGGCCCACTGAAGGGTCTGGGGTGGGGAGCACGCCTCCTTAAACAGCTCTGCCTGTAACTTACTTCTGGAGACTCCCAATGCGCCCGGGAGGAGCGTCCCACAAGTGCAGGGAGCTGGCACTGCCAGGGGGCTCCGCATGGCCCAGTGGGTGGTCACTGCGGCCACCCCTGGCCACCTACAGCACCGCTGGGGACCAAAGGCCGGGCGGCGGAGTGGCGGCGGCTTGGACCACCCAGCCCCTCCCTCCTCAGGGTGGACGCCAGGAGGACGGTGACGGCTGCAGCTTCTCCCGAACCTGGAGCGCGGGTCAAGCTGGGCACGTGGCCGGGCACCAGCGGGCGCTCGCGCGCCAGGGGCTACTCCAGCAGCCAACGCCTGGCTGACTCCGACAACCCCTAAAAACTGTCATAACCCAGCAAGCCCTTCCCTGCCAGCCCTAAAGGAGCCGCGGCTCGCACCGGGCACAGAACCGCGCCTTTTCTTTCAACTGCCTGAAGAAGGAAACCGAGAAAACAGAGAAGCCAAGCCCTGTGCGCGCGGCCCGCGCTGGGCGTGGACGGCGGGGCCGCGCGCGGAGCCGGCCGGGAGAGGCTCGGACCCCCAGGACCTCCAGCCTTTAGACCCTCCGGCCCTAGGACCCCCGGAACCTGGGACCCCCGAGACCCCAGCACTCGCGGCGGGGGGATGGTCATGGGGTGGGTGGGAATCCACGCTCCCAGGGCTGGGCGGGGGCTTTACCTGCGCGGCGGCGGCCGGAGGCTGCTCTGCGCGCCGCTCCCGGGCCTCTCGGAGCCCGCCAGACCCAGCTCCACGCCTGGCGCGGCGGCCACCCCGCTGCCCCTGCGACCGCGCCCGCGACCACTAGCTGGGGAGGCCGCGACTCCGGCCTGCGCGGGCGAGGGGCGGGGTGGGGCGGGGCCTGGAGGGGGCGGGGCGAAAGGCGGAGACAGGCTGTGTCGATTCCCCGCGGGGGCGGGGAAGGGGCGGGGCATGTAAGGAGACCGGAACGGGATTTGTGGTTAGGCGGGGGCGGGGCTTGAGGGCGGGTTCTGCGGCAGGGCGGGGCCTGGAAGAGATGGGGGAGGGGCATGGGAGGGGCATGGGAGGGGCCGGTGGTGCGGCTTTAGATGGAGCTGGTACTAAGACCCAGGTCGCAGGGGCTGTGGGCGGGTTGTGGGAGTAATTGTGGCATGCTGGGGGCGTGGTTGTGGGGCTGAGGACGAGGTGGTGGGGGCTGAGGGCGTGGTTATGGGTGGGGGCGGGGTCTGCGCGCCGGGAGGGGCTGTGGGTCCAGCCCCTGCCCCTCACTCTGGGCAAATCCCCTCTTCCCTCTGGCATCAGGACTTCTGGGGCTTGAAGACCCTGGGTCTGCGGGAAGCCCCTGCTGAGCGTCCCTCGCCTACCCCGTGGCCAGTGGGTGAGTAGGGCTAGATCTCCGCCCATCTAGGTCCCCTTCTGCTCCAGCTCCAGCGTCTGACATCCCAAGGAAGGAACGCAGGGTGGGGGCATTTGAGCCGGACCTGAGCCATCCTCATGGTTTTCAAAAAGTAGCCTTATTGTGGTGTAATTGACAGACGGTAAGCCACATATTTCAATTTGGTACGTTTTAACACTCGGATACTCCTGTGAAACCATCACCACAATCAGCATAGTGAACACCCCGGGTTCCCTCTTGGTCATCTCTCCCTGCCCTCCCTCATCCCCAGGCAAGCACTGATCTGCATTCTGTCACTACTGATTACTTTGCATTTCCTATGATTTGCACAAATGGAATCATATAATATGTACTTTTTGTGTAGCTTCTTTCACTCAGCACAATTATTTTTGAGATTTGCCTGCGTCATTTGGTTTGTCAATGCGTATTTCTTTTACAGCTGCATGGTACTCCAGTGTATGAATGTACCACAGTTTGTGTCCATTCACCTGCTGGTGGGCATTTGGGTTGTTTCTGGTGTTGGCTCTTACAGATAAAGCTGATCCGAACATTGTGCACAAGTCTTTGGATGAATGCTTTTCTTTCTCTTGAATAGATGTCTAGGAGTGGAGTGGCTGGATGCCACGGTAGCCATATGTGAAACTTTTTAAGAAACTGCCAAAGCGATTGTATGGTTTTACATTCCACATCCTCCCCAGCACTTGGTATGGTTTGTCTTTTTAATTTCAAATACTCTAATAGGTGTGTGGTGATAGATGGAACTGTGGTTTTAATTTGCGTTTCCCTGTTGGCCAATGATGTTGAGCATCATTTCATCTGTTTATTCTCCATCTCCTGTAGTAAGCGTTGAGTTCAAATCTTTTACTCACTTTTAATTGGGTTGTTTATTTTCTTATTATTGAGTTTGGGAGTTTGTTGCATATTCTGGATACAAGTCCTTTATCAGATATGTGATCTGTAAATGCTTTCTCCAAGCCTTTGGATTGTGTGTTCATTCTCTTAACAGTTTTTCAAAGAGCAGAATTTTTTAATTTTGAGGAAATCCAATTTATGTTTTTCTTTTATGGATCCTGCTTTTGGTGTCATATATAAGAAATCTTTGCCTCACCCAAAGTCACAAGGGTTTTAGAGTTTTAAAGGTTTGCATTTGGGTCTATTACCTATTTTAAGTTTATTTGGGTTTATAGTATGAGATATGATTCAATGTTTATTTTTTGTGTATGTGGATAATCAGTTTTTTCCAGACTGTTGAAAAGACTATCCTTTCTCTTGTTTGCTGAGAGTCTTTTTAATCAGGAATGAAAGTTGGATTTTGTTTTTTCTGCATCTATTGAGAATCTTTTTGCGTGATGATCTATTAATATGATAGAGTATAATGATTGATTTTAAAGTGTTAAATCAATCTTGTGTTCTTGGGATAAAGCCCACGTGGTCATGATGTATTATCATTTTTATATGTGGTTGAATTATTTAATGGATATACAACTGCTGAGTTTATTTTATTCTTGACTGAATGTATGTAGTTTGTATCGCTCAAGAAATTGCCCATCGCATATAAGTTGTTGAATTTATTAGCATAAAGTTGTTCATAATATTCCTTTATCCTTTCAACATCTGTGAAGTATGAGGTGATGTCATCTTTCTCATTTCTGATACTGGCAATTGTGGCTTTTTTTTTAACTGAACAATCAGATAGCAGTTTATCAATTGTATTGATCTTCTCAAAGAAATAGCTTTTTGGTTTCGTTGATGCACTTTTTTTTCATTGACTTCCACTCTTTATTCTTTCTTTTGCTTGTTTTTTTGTTTGTTTGTTTTTGTTTTTGTTTTTGTTTTTGAGACAGAGTCTTGCCTTGTTGCCCAAGCTGGAGTTCAGTGGGGGCAATCTCGGCTCACTGCAAACTCCATCTTCCGGGTTCAAGTGATTCTCCTGCCTCAGCCTCCTGAGTAGCTGGGATTACAGGCATGTGCCACCATGCCCAGCTAATTTTTGTATATTTTTAGTAGAGATGGGGTTTCACCATGTTGACCAGGCTTGTCTCGAACTCCTGACCTCAGGTTATCCACCCACCTCGGCCTCCCAAAGTGCTGGGATTACAGGCATGAACCACTGCACCCAGCCTCTTTTGCTTACATTGGGTTTGACTTTCTCTTCTTTTTTAGGTCTCTTAAGGTGGAAGCTGGGGTCACTGATCTGTACAAGCATTCAGTACTATAAATTTCCCTCTAAGTCCACCTTTAACTGCATCCCAGAAATTTTGATATGTTGTATTTTTGTTTTCATTAAGTTGAAAATAATTTATAATTTTCCCTTTGATTTCCTTTTTGACCCATGAGTTTAGAGCTATGCTATTTCACTTCCACATATCTGTGCATTTTCCAGAGCTCTTTCTGCTGTTGATCATTACTTTAAAGCCATTGTTGTCAGAGGACATATTCTATGTTTCGGATCCTTTTAAATTTATTGAGACTCTTTCATGGCCCCGATTATGGTTGGCGGTTGTTGCATGCGCACTTGAATTTGTGTACTGTTGCTCCACGAGGTGTCCTATAAACGGCAATGACTGTGTTATTTGAGTAGCCCATATTATCATCCACTTTCTGTCTACTTGCTCTGCTAATTATTGAGAGACCAGCCTGGGCAACAAAGTGAGACACCATCTCTACAAAAAATCAAAAACTCACCCATCCATGGCAGCGCATGCCTGCAATCCTAGCTACTTGGGAGGCTGAGGCAGGAGGATTTCTTGAGCCCAGGAAGTCAAGGCTGCAGTGAGCCGTGATTGTGCCATTGCATTTGAGCCTGGGTGGCAGAGCAAGACCCTGTCTCAAACAAACAAATTCTTGATAGCGGTGTTGAAACCTCTGACTGTAATTGCAGATTTGTCTGTAATTTTTCCTTGCAGCTCTATCAGCTTTTGCTTCATGTGTTTTGAGACTCTGTGCTCACATCGTGCATGCTCCTGACTGGTTGACCCCTGTGTCATCATGAAATGACCCTCTTTATCCCTAGACTCTGACTTGAAATTGACTCCTGCTTTCCTTTGATTAGTTTAGCATGGGATATCTTCTTTTACCTTGTTACTTTTTACCTAGTGTGTCTTATACTTAAATTAGCTTCATTGGAGATTTCCATAGGATCAAAGTATCTGCTTTGACATATTTATTAACCTAAAAAAGTAATAACAGCTTTTCAGTGCAGAAACCACCTTATCTATGTGACAAAGCTCGGGCCATCAGTGGCAAGGTAGATTGGCATCACGTACCTTTGATACAACAACCTGAGAAGGACGTCACTTCTGCGATATTCCTGCCAAAAATGCATCTCCGCATTCCGATCGTGAGAACATCCTGGGCACACCCAAACTGAGAGACACCATACAAAGTGACTGGTCAGTGCACTCAAAGGCAAAAAGCTCATGGAAGGCAACAGAAGACAGGAGAAGTGACAGCTAAAAGCAGCGTGGAATCCTGGAAGGGACAAAGAACACGAGCAGAGAAACTGTAGAAGCTGAGTGAGGGCAGCGGTCCAGCTTGCGCTGTTTTGCTGGGGTGATTCTGGCTTTGATGACCTTGTTTTGAGGTGACGAGCGCTCTGGCCGGGCCCGGTGTGTGCTGATTCTTCCCTGGCCGCTCCACACAGCCCTGTTCCTCTGTCCTCTCTTCCAGCCTCAGGTTTTCCTTAGGATTCCGTGTGTGTTCCCCGCCTGGCCCCTCCGCAGCGACTCTGCTGTCAGTGGCTGCCCCAGGGTGGAGAGTGACCTACCTCCGGCTTCTCCTGTCCCGGCTTCTCCTGTGCCAGCCGGTCAGGCACACTGTAAGATCCCCACAGCGGGGTGCCCCCACCCTCACCTGGACCCTACACCATCACCATCACACCTTCTCGTGTGTCATAAACCCCACAACACATTGTTATGATTTTTGCTTTAAATCAATTATCTTTTAAAGGGATTAAAATAATGTGAGCTGTGAAGTTGGTATGTTAAAAGTGGAAGAGATGCCACAGCCAAACCCAAACGTTACAGTATATTTTCAGTGAATTCATGCAGTTGCCACTGAACACTGCAGCGTAGACAGGAATGAATCCGCAGACGTTACCAAGAGTGAAGGAGGCCAGGCATGCAAAGGACACCTGGCCAGGTTCCGACTGGGGAGGTTCAAGAGCAGAGGAGACTCGTGGGGGGTGAGGAGGTCAGAAGCATGGGGACAACAATGCAGGGGCTCCAGGGCTCTGGGGGCTGGAGATGACTGGGTGCTGGTTGCTGACATCAGTAACCCATCAGCTGCTCACGCCTAAGAGGTGTGTGCATGACTAAGTGTGGGTGATGCCACCGTCAAGACAAGGCAGATGTGCGGCGTGCTCGCCGGTCACAGACTCTTCCCGGTGTTCACAGTGTATGCACTGATTGACCGATTGTTGAGTCAGGGGCACTTGCCTGAAGCCACGTGGTGAGTGCCTTCTTTGGGTCGCCTGGGTTCTGCGTGTGTGGCCTGCCCCATTTGGTGAAGACGTCAGCCGTCTCCAAGGGCCCTGCACACAGCCTGTGCTCTCAAAAACACCAGAAGCCTCCTCCTGCCTCCCTGGTCTGAGCGCTGTGGCCTCCCTCATGGCTGTGATTGAGTTGAGGGCTGAGCATCTCACTCCCTTATCTGCCCAGGATCCAGCCTTGTGGTCTGGGGGTAAAATGCAGCTGCTCCAGCTGGTTAATCACTCTCCCAGCCGCGAGGGCATCTGGCCAGGAGAGGTCTGAGTGCGTCTCGCTGGGGACTGGCGTGGAGGAGCTGCACTTGCAGCCTCCACGGGGCTGGGATGCCATCAGGCAAATGAATAAAACATCTTGGGTGAAGGAGCCGGGGTTGCCCACCCCACACTCAGAGAGACAGAGCGGCCTCGGATGAGCCCTGCCCCACTGCCACGGCCAGCCGCTGGGTGCAGGCTGACCACCCTGCTGCCCTCCGGGGCCCTCTGCTGCCCTGCCTCCACACTCGTCCCTCCTGACCCAGCCCCTGCCCCTCACTCAGCGTGGGGACCCTCAGACAGAGCCCCCGGCCATCTCACAGGCAGGGCAGGGGCAGCACCGTGGTGAGGGCCAGGGCTGCCAAGAGGAGTCCACGAGGGCTGGGCTGGAGCAGCCACACTCTCCAGGGCGTCCGCCCTCATGAATTGCCTTTCAGCCAATTGGTCCTCAGTGGCTTTGGCCAGACCGAGCCTTCCCCTAAGCTCCCTGAATTCCTGGATTTCTCTGTCAATCTTGAAAATCTGGACCGGTTATGTTCCCTCCTGGGCCAGCGAGCACGGTCTGTGCAGCCAGGCCATCCTTCCCCAAAGGCCCCCTAGCCACCTGAGCCACCTCCTCGCCCCTGGCTCCCAGCCTGTCCCATTTCCCGGGGTCCTCCCTTGGATTCTGGAACCCCCCCTTGTTGTGGGCTCTCCTGCACGCCACACCCACCCCGATCTCTGGCTTTCCCTTGCTCTGAGTCGTCTAAGCTTTGTCGTTTTTGTTGATATCTTCCAAGAACTGGTTTTTGAATATATTTATCACACCAGTTCTTTATTTTTTCCTATTTCATTAAAATCCGACATTGTCTTCATCTTCACCTCTGGATTTATTTTGTAGCTATTTTTTTAGCCTCTTGAGTCAGAAACTTAGACCATCTATTTCAGTCTTTTTATTTCCAAACAAGTGCATTTAAGGTTATGAATGTTCCTTTGAAAGCCCTCCAGCCACGCCAGAGAGAGGCACCCACTGGGTGGCCTGCACCCTCTCATTCTCTCAGAGAGACGCGCCTGCTGGGTGGCACACACCCTCTCGTTCTCTCTCATGTCTCATTTCTCCCCCACTGGACCTGCAGGGCGTCCCAGCTGGAGGCAATGTGAGGGGGGTTCTGGGGGAAGCTGCTTTAGCCCCTCTGGCTCTCCGGAGAGAATCCCTGCTTTGTTAGGGAGGACAGCATGCCCAGCTCAAAGTCCTCACTTCCTTCCCCCAAATCCCTGTGGCTGAGTCGCAGGACAGCCTCCACTCTCCCAGTGGCCCTGCCCTCCCCATGATCACCCAGCCTGGGAAACAGAAGGAGGTGAGGCCTCCTGTCACAATCTGATGGTGAGGACAGAAGCCCCTCACAGAGGGCAAAGGGCAAGGAGGGCTGCATTCCCAGTGGGGCCCGCTGGCCGGCCGACAGTGCCATTGCTGAGCTGGCCAGGGCTGGGCGCTTAGGGTCCGAGGGTGCCTGGAGATCCACTCACGCCTGCTGTCCTCTCACGGCACGCCCCCCGCGTCCTAGCATGACTCTCCTGAGGTTGTGGCTGGAGAGTGTTTCCAGCAGGGTGGGGGTGCTTTGGAAACTTGCTGGGGCCCCCTCTCTACGAGACTGTTCATGTTCCGTCTGCACATGCAGATGTGTCTGAAGATGAAGTGTCTCCTCAGGACCTGTTTGCAGCAGAGCAGGTGCAGAATCACACACTATATGGATCCATAGTGTTTGCTCACGTATCGTTCATGTGTGTTCATGCATATTACACGAGTTATATGCACAATATGTAATAATCCATAATCCATCAAGATACGTGTACATATAAATGCAGACAGGCACACAGACATCCATATCTGTAGGTATACACACGCATGTACACATGCCCACAGGGCAACCGCAATCTCCACTGCCTACATTCCAGTTCTGCCCTCTTCTCCTTGTGCTTTTTTTTTTTTTTTTTTTTTTGAGACAGAGTCACGTTCTGTTTCCCAGGCTGGAGTGTGCAGTGGCATGAGCTCAGCTCACTGCAACCTCCGCCTCCCAGGTTCAAGTGATTCTCCTGCCTCAGCCTCCTGAGTAGCTGGGATTACAGACACGCACTACCATGCAGGGGTAATTTTTGTGTTCTTAGTAGAGATGGGCTTTTGCCATGTTGGCCAGGCTGGTCTTAAACTCCTGACCCCAAGTGAGCCACCGGCCTCAGCCTCCCGAAGTGCTGGGATTGTAGGTGTGAGCCATGACGCCTGGCTTCCTTGTGCTTCTTGATTGCTTTAATTTCTGAGAGAAATCTGCAAAGACTTCAGCAATGGCTGTGACTTTGCCAGTTTCTTCTTGAATTTCCATTTTGCCTTATAAATTTAAGAATTTTGCCTTATATATTTATATATAGTTTTTGCCTTATATATTATAATATTATAATATCCATGTTACATAATAGACCATGATCATAGTATCTTCCTAATGCATTTGTACTTTTATCCAATTACACTTTCCTCTTTGTTCCTTAAAAGGACAAACTTAGCCTTCCGTTCTGTTGGTCTGTGATGACCGTTTCCACGTCCTGCTTTCTGAGAGCATTTGCCTGGTGTAGACGTCCCCGTTTTCAGCGGTTATGCGTCCCTCTAGTTTCGGGTGAGTCTTTTGTGGATGGAAAATAGCAGGAACTAGTTGTGTTATGTCTTTATCCCAATATGAGACTCGCCACTTACATGCGTGGTTATTACTGTTACGGTTTGACTGTTTCCTGCCATTTTGGTTCATATTAACCATTCTTTAGTGATATTTTTTCTTTCCTTGATTTTGTTGTTTCATTTTATTCCTCCAGTGGTTTAAAGTCATTCCTCTATTTCTATCCTTCTAGTGATGCCCTGAGGTTTACTTCCTGCATTTTTAAGCCCACGTTTCCCCAGCACTCATGTGTGGCCAGCGTCTGATTCTTCCTCCAGAGCAAGACAGGGAAGCCACTGCACTTCAGCTGCCTTCACAAGTCTCCTCTGCCACCCCCGCTGAGGCCGTCTGGAAGTTTAATTCTAGGCTATTATTAAATTTCTATAAAATTGTTTCAACTTTACTGAGATATAATTCACAAATAGGAATTGTGTATAGTTAAGGTGTATGACTTGATGTTCTGATACACGCTGTGAATGATCACTGCAGTCAAGCTATTTCACATGCTCACACCTCACAGTGACTACCAAGTTGGTGAAAAGAGTAACTGCGGTGTTTGCAATTAGAAGCAATTATTTTTGCACCAACCTAAAATATTTTCTTTTTTTTTTTTTTTTTGTCGCCCAGCCTGGACTGCCGTGGTGAAATCTTGGCTCACTGCAGCCTCTGCTTCCCAGGTTCAATCAATCTTGCCACCTCAGCCTCCCCAGTAGCTGGGACTATGGGCACGTGCCACCATGTCCAGCTAGTTTTTTTTGTTTTTTTTTTTTTTTGTATTTTTAGTAGAGATGGGGTTTCGCCATGTTGCCCAGACTGGTCTTGAACTCCTGGCCTCAAGTGATCCACCCACCGTCGGCCTCCCAAAGTGCTGGGATTACAGGCATGAGCCACCGCACCAGCTTCTTTTATTTTCTTTGTGTGTGTTGAGAACACTTAAGATCTATCCTCTCAGCCCATGTCCAGCATCCAGTACAGCATTGTTAACCATGGCCACCTAGGACAGCGCTCCCCAGAAACTGAATTTGCCAGCACCTTGATCGTGGACTTCCAGCCTCCAGAACAGCGAGAAGAATCGCTTCTAGGTTTTGACCAGCCGGCCTGTGGCATTTTGCTACAACAGCCTGGGCAGCCTGCAGTGCTCTGTGCTTTGTTCTCTTTCATTTTGTTTTGTTTTCTGTAATTCACCTTTGAGAAACTCGTTCAGGAAGGATGCATGGGTGACATTTTCTGCATCCTCACATTTTGTCACTGGGTGTGGCCGGGTCTGTGAGTCTAGACACAAAGCCAGTCACCTGGGGACGCTGCCACCTGAAGGCCTGCGTGGCCGGGTCTGTGACTGTAGACACAAAGCCAGTCACCTGGGGACGCTGCCACCTGAAGGCCTGCGTGGCCGGGTCTGTGACTCTAGACAAAAAGCCAGTCACCTGGGAACTCTGGGACACCCTCTTCTCTCACCCATTGCTGTGGGGAAGCCTGGGGATGGGTTTTCTTGTTTTGGTTTTTTATCATGTTGGTGTTTTGTTTTGTTTTTTTTTTGAGATGGAGTTTCCCTCTTGTCTCCCAGGCTAGAGTGCAATGGCGTGATCTCGGCTCACTGCAACCTCCGCCTCCTGGGTTCAAGCGATTCTCCTGCCTCAGCCTCCTGAGTAGCTGGGATTACAGGCATGCACCACCACGCCTGGCTAATTTTTGTATTTTTAGTAGAGACGGGGTTTCACCATGTTGGTCAGGCTGGTCCCGAACTCCTGACTTCAGGTGATCCACGCACCTCGGCCTCCCAAAGTGCTGAGATTACAAGCATGAGCCATCGCACCCAGCCCATAGTGGTTTTTAAATCTTTCCTTTTGCCCTCATTGTTCTAAAATTTTATGAAGATGAAGACATATCTCGTGTCTCATTCACGGAGAGCCGATTCTGTAACAGCCGCTGCTCTGGGCGCCGGGAGAAACCGTGAGGAGCAGGCAGAGCTTCCGTCGCGGGGCCCACAGGGCCCAGGTGTGCATTATTTCCCTCCCATCAATCCTGTTCTTCTTCTGAAACTCTCAGTGTGCAGATGTTGGAATGTCTGGCTTCGTCCTCCATTTCCTTTTTTTTTTTTTTCATACTTTCCCTCTATCTCGCTCTGCTGTGTACAAAAAAACTTGGGCATTTTCAAGTACAAAGCAAAGGAAGCAATAAAGCATCCCCAGATATTTGAGGAAAGCTGACATCACAAAGTGGAGAATTCCTTGACTGTGTGTTCCAGGCACAAGTTCGTTCTTCAGCCTTTTCTTCCTGTTATTCACCCCATCACTTTTTAATTTTTTTTGGATGTCACATTTTTCATATTTATATTTTCAGTTCCGTTTTTAAGGCTGTATCTTCTCTATGGATAAATAAACCTGTGAAGACGTACTGCCCTTTTCTCGAGGGTGTTGTTTGCTCTGCTTCCTTGATACCTGCTGACTTTGGGGGCCCCTTTTTGGTAGTGATTGGTTTTCCTCAAACATTTGATGGTTCTGGGTTGTCTAGTGATTCCATGAAAATTGGTTGGCTGCATATTTAACCAATTTTAGGTTAAAATTGGTTGGCACCCAAAATAACAGTGGCTTTAACACACAGTATTCCCTTCTCACATAAGAAAGGACTCTGGAGGGCGGGGCCCTAAAGAGCCTGTCACCTCCCACTCCACCACACCCGGCGGGTGCCTCATCCTCATGGCCCCAGAAGGCTGCTGGAGCTCTGGCCATCGTGTCTGCATTCAGCCAGCTTCCGCTCACCCTCCCGCCAGCCCCCACCCAGATCTTGCTCACTGTGAGCTCTTCCCTCAGAGGGCAGTGACCTCTAAGAGACCACGGTTCACAGAACCCTCGCTTCCTTCAATGCTGAGGTCCTGGATGAGGGCACTGCCTGCTCCACACTGCCCCCAGCGGGCTGGCCCACGTCTGTGCTGTGGAACGTGCCCCTGCCTGTCTCCCATTTGCTGTTTGTTCTGCCCTTGGAGTCTTCACTCTCAGCCGCCTCACTGGAGAAGCCAGCTGACTCCTCCGCTGGAATGCCTGCTCTTCCCCGGCCTCCGACCCGGTCCGGCTCCTGCGGTCCTGAGTGGACTTCATCCAGGATTGTGAGGCCCTCGGGCAGGGATGGGTTTTATTCATCACTGCACCCCTCAAATCCCCATCCCCAGGGCACAGACAGGCTCAGCAACCAGGTAGGAAGGGATGAGTGAATGATCAGAAGGCCTCATGCCTGACTCGCAAAAAGTCCGTGGTCCACCAGGCATGTCCTGGTTTCCCATTTGGTTCGAAGAGCCGCTGACCTCTGTGGCTGCTGCACGGCACAGCCGAGGAGAGCTGGGTCCAGGCCTGGCTTTGCCAGCAGCTGCTGAGAGGACTGAGCAAGCCCTCTGCCCTCTCCGCACCCCAGGTCCCTCTACAAAAGGAGGCAAAACTTCCTCCCACAGAGCCGCTGTTGGTGTGTGGCTGGGCCCAAGCAGGCACCCACAGACAGCTCAGCCACGGGGCCCCCTGGGGGCACTGCTGGAGTAGGCAGCAGCCCCGGGTTGGAGGAGCAGCGCTTCTAGGAGTGGGCAGAGCAGGGGGCACGGTGGTGATGGGGGACAGCCGTGTGAGTGTCTACGGCCACTGCACTGTGCAGCTGAAATGGTTCCAATGGCGAAGTTCGTGTCATGGGTGTTTCAAGTGAGCAGAGCAGACGCCCATCCCCTTGGTGGCGTCCCTCTCTGGTCTGACCCCCAGGCACAGCCCCCACCCCTTCCCTGGGTGCCACCTTCAGCATGGGTGTTTCTAGATCCTGCAGACACAGAGCCGAGACCAGCCCCAGACAGTGGGAGCTCAGCCCGATGGTGCAGCTAGAAACAGGAGCACTGAGCACAACATGGTCCCTGGCAGAGGTCTGGACCCACGGCCAGTAACCGAGGAGTCACAGGCCTTCCCTGTGGCACCTGGAGGCTGGATTGCACGTGGAGGCTGCATTGCACATGGAGGCTGGATTGCACGTGGAGGCTGCATTGCACGTGGAGGCTGCATTGCACCTGGAGGCTGGATTGCACGTGGAGGCTGCATTGCACCTGGAGGCTGGATTGCACATGGAGGCTGCATTGCACGTGGAGGCTGCATTGCACGTGGAGGCTGCATTGCACGTGGAGGCTGCATTGCACGTGGAGGCTGCATTGCAGCAGGAGAGGGAGCTGGAGAGGGGTGGGGTGGGCCACATCCAGGCTGCTTTGTGGTTCAAACCCGCCACCTGCGAGCCCCTTGGGAGTGGCGGATGCTGACCACAGATGCAGCTTCCAGGACCTCCCAGCCCTGCTGCCTCTGAGCTTCAAGAGGGGCCTGAAGATCTACATTTTTATCAAACCCCAAGGTGACTCCGTCACAAAAGTTGGTGACGGGACTGATTCTAAGCAGGGCATAAGGGGTCAGTTGTGTCCTTGGTGACGCTGATGGGGTGAGGGGGATACCTGGGGACAAGGGGGTGGCTAGAGAGCTTTGGGTCAGGTGGAAGACAGAGGCCTGTCCAGGGAAGGGTGGGCATCACCTCGGCCAGTGCTCAGTGGCCAGGCAGCCCCAGGCTCCATCCGGAGCCTCTGCAGGGGTGCCAGGGCACATTGGCACCACCACGCAGGGGAAGCCAAGGAGGAGGGCATGTGGATGCCTGCATCCTGGCCTGGTGGGCTTGGGGACGATGCTGGAGCCCAGGTTTAGGAAAATGAAGACAGGGAGCTGATGGGTCAGAGGAGAAACTTGGGGGTAGGGCTGAGGGGCTGCAGGACATCCACAGGCTGCAGGAAGCTCACCGGGGGATCGAGGAGAACTTCAGGCAGCCGTCACACAGCCCCTGGCCCTGGACGTGTCAGGAACTTTATTTGTGGAAAGCACAGAAGAGCCAGCCAGGCCTGAGATGGCAGATTTAATGTCTTGGGTTTTACCACGTTCCCCTCCTGAGGGCCCTCATGGTTCACGCTCCTGTGAGCTGTTGACACCAAACCAGAAGGCCCCCACGTCCCCGCCTCCTGCTCATGCCGTCCCTGGCCACATGGCCAGCACGTGGCTCCCAGGGAGTAGGGAGGGAGAGCTTCTGCAGCCTCGTCCCAGGGTCCCTGGGGCCAACCCTGGCAGGGGCCCTCTGCGTCTCTTGACAGGCCTGGGCTTTGTCTGGGCTCCTGTACCCCCACGGAGTTTATCCTGACAGTCAGGAGTTCAGACAGTGCCCCTAGCCCAGGCCAGGCAAGGCTCCATGTTGAGGCACCTCGAAACATGGAGGCCCTCTTGGGGAGAGTGGCAGGGCCCCTTCCTCACAGACATAGGCCTGAGGGGGCCACAGGGGACCCCGACTCTCCGGGGAACTTGCCTCAGGCCAATGACCTCCATGGTGGATGAGCTGCTCGGGGTGACACAGCCAGGAAGGGAGTGGACTCTGGCCAAGGGCCCAGCTGCACAGGCCCAGCCCCTCGCCTGATGGCCAAGGGTCCCAGGGGCCCCTCAGCTCTGAGTAGCCTGTGCCCTGTCTTGAGCTCTCCTCCCGGGTCACCTTGACCCCTTCCAGTTCATGAGGTCATCTGCAGCAGACTTGCGGCAGCCGTGAGGGGCACTGGGTCCACCAAACCCCATCATGTGCAGGGCCCAGGAACAGCCTGAGTCCTGGCCAGGCTCAGGAGAGAGAAGCCCTGGTTTCTGGGGGGAACGTCTATGGACTGGAGCCGCCCAGCCTGAGGGCACAGTCAGTAGTGAGCCCCGAACTCAGCGGCTGCCTTCTGGAGGAGGGTCTTGTGGTTCGCATAGAGTGGGATGCGCCTGTCCACCACCTGCCATCGGATGGAGGCCCCCGAGTCGCAGGCGTGCAGGTTCTGGAAGAACAAGGGCACAGCTGACCCTCCCCGCCAGCCCTGCCTCTGCCCAGCTGAGCCCTACGGACTGCAGCCTTCGAGGGCTTGGGGCCTGCACACCCTCCCTTTACTCCTCTGTGAAATGGGAGGCAGGACCCCTGCGTCAGGTGCACCAGAGATGCACCCACAAGGCCCTGAGGATCCTTCAGGGGAAGAAGATGCAGGTGCAGCTTTGCCGGGAGCTATTTAGCCCGCATTTAAAGCCCGGGGTTATTTATGGAATTTCCCATCCCAGTTCTGAATTAGGAGCATGCAGGATTAATCCAAGTACTGGGAATCCACATCCCCATAAAGAGCTAAAAGCCGGCAGCCGGGGGCTGAGGGGGCCTTGCCAGCCTCACCCCTGGATGCCATCTTCGAGGCCTCCCTGGAGGACCCAGGTCCCAGAACTACACAGGGCCCTATGGTCGCCTGGCCAGCCCTGTGAGCTCTGGCCACCTGAGGTGGCTCCCCGGCCTCTCCCTGGTGCCCCCTTTGTCACTTTCTGGGCAAGACTCTGACCCTGTAGCCTCCAGTTTCTGGCCCTGGGCCCCAGGAGCACGGCCAGGTCCCTCCCTTGGAAGCCCTCGAGGCACGTCCAGAATCCAGACCCCGGTCCCCGCCTTCCCTCTCCCCGGAGGCCACGCCCATACAGAGTTCAGCCTGCCAGAATCCAGACCCCCATCCCTGCCAACCCCCTCCCCGGAGGCCACGCCCATACCCGTCCCTGCCTCCCCACTCCCGCCTCCAGGGAGGCCAGGCACATACAGAGTTCAGCCTGTTCAGCTCCACGTCATTCTGGTCCTGGAAGTGGACGCTGACGGCCACCGTCTCGATCCAGGCATTGTCCGTGTTCCTCGGGTCATCCATGTAGCCTTTGTACACCTGGATGGGCAGGGCAGGGTAAGCCCGACAGCGAGGGACACCTGAGCGGTGCCCCGGCCCACCTCGTGCCCTCCACCCTGACCCAGCTCTGAGCACAGCTTCCAGCACACACAGGACCCCGGCCCAGCTCTCCCCAGCCCCCGCCAGCCTGCCTGGGCCTGCAAGGCGGAGCAGCCCAATGCGGGCTTCATCCTGGACAGACACGTCCTTGCCCTGCAGAGATCTTGGAAACGCCTTGGAAACGTCTGCTCAGTGAAGGAAGACAGTTTCAAAGGCCACCTGTTGTAGGAGTCCACTCATAACAGACACCCAGAACCGGCAAATCCAAGGAGATGGGAAGCAGATGCGGGAGTGCTGGGGAGGAGCTGGGGGTGACTGGGGTGATGGAACGTTCTGGAACCGGATAGAGGTGGTGGCTGCACAATGTTGTGAAGTGCTCCACACCATGGCATTGATCACTTTTTTTTTTTTTTTTTTTTTTTTTGAGCGCAGTGGTGCAACCTCGGCTCACTGCAACCTCCGCCGCCTGGTTCAAGCAATTCTTCTGCTTCAGCCTCCCAAGTAGCTGAGATTACAGGTGTGCGCCATCAGGCCTGGCTAATTTTTGTATTTTTAGTAGAGACGGGGTTTCACCATGTTGGCCAGGCTGGTCTCGAACTCCTGACCTCAAGTGATCTACCCACCTCAGCCTCCCAAAGTGTTGGGATTACAGGTGTGAGCCAGCGCACCCGGCCCGTGTAGCCTGCTTTTATAAAGAGCGTCCATAAAGGGCTGGGCGCAGTGGCTCACACCTGTAATCCCAGCACTTTGGGAGGCTGAGGTGGGCAGATCGCTTGAGCCCAGTTCATGACCAGCCTGGGCAACATGGCCAAACCCTGTCTCTACTAAAAATACAAAATATTAGACGGGTGTGGTGTCTCACCGCTGCAGCCCCTGCTGCCTGGGAGGCCAAGGCAAGAGCATTGCTTGAGCCCGGGAGGTGGAGGCTGCAGCAAGCCAAGATCGCACCACTGCACTCTAGCCTGGGTGACAGAATAAGACCTTGTTTCCAAAAATAAAAATTAAAAAAAAAGTGTGCATGCATTTGTGTGAGAGAGCTGGAGATGGAGGCTTTCTAAGGAAAGATCGAGGTTTCTAAAGAAGTAAATAAAAAGTCCTGGTACAGTCGGTCCCCAGGCTGGGCATGCATGTGGGAAGGGCCCCTCCAGAGCTTGGGAGTCGGGGCGAGGTCTGAGGGAGGGGCTGGCTTCCCAGCACCCTTGGGCGCAGCTGTGCTCGAGGCAAGGGTGGATGTGGGGAGGAGGGCGGCACCAGGCCTCCAAGCAGCTGTCACACTCGAAGGCAGCAAGGGTCCTCAGCCCATCCCCCTTGATTTAGAGAGGAGAAAATGGAACAGAGAGGGAGGGCGAGATGTCTGAGGGGCCCTGCACACAGCTATGCTTCCGGGTCCTCTGGGAGCTGTGCAACGTGGGGGCAGGGGCTGGGACCACCGTCACCTGGTGAAGCTGGGTGGGACCGCTGCCACCCAGTGGTGCTGGGGCAGGTCCCCAGTATCACACTGTGTTTGTCCTGCAGCCCTGGGGACACACAGGTGGAACAGAGCAAACAGGCCAGGAATACCTCCATGCCGCACTTCAGCAAGTTTTCAAAAGACGGCCAGTGCTCCTGCCGGAGGATCCGCTTCAGCTTCCGAGGTAGCATCTCCCCTGGCTCCCGGGAGCCCTGGACAGACAGAGGACGGAGGCAGGTCAACAGGGCACCGAAGCGGGACCTCAGGCTGCCCTGGCACCCGTCTCCACTGGCCTCCTGCCCGGCGTGGGCAGCGGCCCAGCCCTGGGAGCCACAGGCAGGCGGCATCTCAGGCTGCAGTGACATTGCCCAGAACCCGCCGTCCACGTCAGCATCTGTGAGGCCTGCCGTGGCCCGAGCAGGGGGCACTGGGCTGCAGACACAACCTCTGAGGAGCAGGGACAGCCCCCAGGGTACCCACCCTGAGCTCAGACTCCCCAAGGGTGACAGGGCACCCCCTTCCCGCTCCCCTGGCGCCTGCCCCCGCGTCGCCCCTCCCAGCTCCCGCCCAGTGCAGCAGGCTGCCACGGCGGGTTCCCTGTTTGCATTCCCGTCTCTCCCAGTCCCACCCCGGCCTGTGCTGCGGCTGGCTGGGCTCCCAGACGCTCCCGAGCGCCACCTGACTCAGGGACCCAGCTCCGGCCTGCACCTCCTCCTCCCCACACCCATCTTTCCCACCCTATTTGTCATTCAAAGTCCCACTGAAACACCCGTGGGTTTCTCATGAAGACTTTGCAGGCCACGTCAAGACGGTCCCACCTCAGCCCCATGACACTCCCACCCTCAAGCGTGCGTGCCCTACAGAGCCAGGAACCCAGGAGGCCCCTCAGAGTGCCCCTCTCAGTGACCAGCCTGAGCTGACAGGGATGCCAGTGAGTGGGACCCCCAAACCCAACTCCACGCACCCCGCATGGAGAGGCCAAAGTGCCAGAGAGCGGAGGGTGACTCGTGTTCCAGGGCCAGGTGTGCACAGGCAGAGAAGCTACTGGGTGAGCGCAGCAGGGCAGCAAGGGGACCCCAAGGCCAAAGGCCCCCTCTGCTGCGGGGGTGGTTCCAGCTGTGGAGACAGGCCCCCAAAGCACTGGGACCCAGCAGCTGGGCCTGGGCTCCGGAGTCCCCGTTCCTGCCCAGAGGCCCTTGTGGCACTGCTGCCCTGCACACCGTGGTGGCACACACACTCCCACAGCAGCAGAGGCAGCCACCAGGCCGTGAGCTCGGGGTCAGAGAAATGCAACAGCTTCTTGCTGAGTTGTTGTAAGTCACAGACTCCCCGGATCAGGTGCAGAGGAGAGGCCCTGCGGGGCAGGCTGTACCCCAGAGGCCATGCGCCACGGCCAGGCCTGGCAGGACTCAGACCTCCTGGCAGGACCAGCCTCTTCCATCCCCTGCAGTGAGCGGGCTGGAGGGCTGCGGAGGCCAGGCTGGCCTGGGAGGAAACAGGAGCTGTTGGAGGCACTTGAACAGGAAAGGCCCAGGCCATCTGTCCTGATTGTGTGCACCCCTCCCCACAAGATGCTGGGGTGCGCTCCAGCCTCAGCCCCACAACCAGCCCCTGAGCTGAGGGGCCTGTGCACAACCCTGGGCCCTACCTACCCCTGTCGCTGCCCCTGCCCCTACTCCTGTACCTGCCCCTACCCCTGGATGACACCGTCCTATATTTATGGCTCAGCACCTGGCCCTGAAGGTCAGGAGCTGGTTGGTGTCTGAGACACGGGAGAAGAGCTACCTCTGCCCCCAACACCCTGAACTCCACAAGGGGAGCCCAGGTGGCCTCCAGCCGCAGCCCAGCCCATGCCTGGGACACAGTAGGTGCCCCGTTAGTGTTTATGCACCAAAAGATCCTCTGATCCTGGGTTTTCCTAACTGCAACATGAGGAAAAGGGAGGAGGAGTGTCTTCTACAGACAAAACAGGCGGGGTCTCGAACCCTCCCTGCCCAGGGGCTGCAGGGGGCTGCAGGGGGCTGGTGTCCAGTCCGTGGGCAGAATGGATGAATGGACGAGTGACCCACAGACAGCCCAGTGGACAGAGGTCCCACACGCGGCAGCCTTACCCCAGGCAGGGCCCAGTGCTCGGAGAGAGGGAGCTTCACCACCAGCACTTCCAGCATCTTCTTTATGCTCTTCCTGCAGATGGCTCCATCCTCGTTCCGCCTCCACCTGCGGAGAGAGCGGCCATGGCTGCCCAGGACCCGCTGCGGCCTCCACCCTCCCCTGCGCCGCGGCGGGGCTGGCCCTGCCTGGGGCGGGGCAGTGTCAGGCCCACTGCAGGCTCAAACCGTGTTCTTTTTCAAGTTCTTCATCCCCAGGGAAAAGACTGAGATAGTAACCACTTAGGGGACGTCCTTCTTCACTTCCATCATAGCTGGTAGAACTAGAAAGAGACCCAGCCTTCATGGAGAATTTTTTAAACATTAAAATCCTTAGAGAGGTACCTGCCCTTTGACCCAGCTTTGCAGTTTGACCACTCTTAGAAAATGCCAGTGGGAATCCAGTGAGGTGATGTGGGGTGCTGAGTGCCTCCCGGGGGTGACGTGGGATGCTGAGTGCAGCCTGGGGGTGATGTGGGGTGCCGAGGGCCACCTGGGGGTGATGTGGGGGTGACATGGGGTGCTGAGTGCAGCCCAGGGTTGACATGGGGGTGACATGGGGGTGACGTGGGGTGCCAAGTGCCACCTGGGGGTCACATGGGGTGCAGAGTGCAGCCCGGGGGTGACGTGGGGGTGACGTGGGGTGCCGAGTGCCACCTGGGCAGGCCAAGGAGAGGCCAAAGGACTGGGGAGCAGAGAGTGACTCGCACCCCAGGGCCATGTCTGCACGGCCAGAGAAGCCACTGGGTGAGAGTGGCTGGGCAGCAAGAGGACCCTGAGGCCAAAGGCCCCTCCGCTGGGGGGAGGTCCCAGCTGTGGAGGCAGAGGCCCCAGAGAGCACAGGGCACAGCAGCTGGGCCTGGGCCCCAGAATCCCATTCCTGCCCAATGGGGGCAGCAAGAGCCCCCGGCAGCTTCCTCAGGGACGCAGGCGTCTGCACCTGCACAGAAGGCGGCCCGTGCCTTGGGTGAGAGCAGTGGGCCAGCTGCTGGAGTGCAGAGGAGTGAGCCTGAGGGGGTGAGTGTGGAGCTGTGTCCCTGTGTGTGAATGGGTGTGGAGGAATGAGCCTGTGGTGGGGGTTGAGTGTGGGGCTGTGTCCCTCTGGATGAGTATGGAGAGGGTCTGAGGGGGTGAGTGTGGGGCTGTGTCCCTGTGGATGGGAGTAGAGAGTGAGTCTGAGGGGTGAGTGTGGGGCTGTGTCCCTGTGGATGGGTGGGGAGGAGTGAGTCTGAGGAGAGAGTGTGGGGCTGTGTCCCCGTGGATAGGAGTGGAGAGTGAGTCTGAGGGGTGAGTGTGGGGCTGTGTCCCCGTGGATGGGTGTGGAGAGTGAGTCTGAGGGGTGAGTGTGGGGCTGTGTCCCCATGGATGGGTGTGGAGAGTGAGTCTGAGGGGTGAGTGTGGGGCTGTGTCCCCGTGGATGGGTGTGGAAAGTGAGTCTGAGGGGTGAGTGTGGGGCTCTGTCCCCGTGGATGGGTGTGGAGAGTGGGTCTGAGGGGTGAGTGTGGGACTGTGTCCCCGTGGATGGGTGTGGAGAGTGAGTCTGAGGGGTCAGTGTGGGGCTGTGTCCCCGTGGATGGGAATGGAGGAGTGAGACTTAGGGGTGAGTGTGGGGCTGTGTCCCCGTGGAGGGTGCCCTCTAATGGGCAGGGACCGGCAGGAAAGTGAAGGCAGCCCCGGGAGAGGGGATGGGTCCTGGGATCTTCCTCCAGGATGGGCAGCATGGACATTCCTGCCCCATTTCGGGCATATTCACGTTTATCCACAGACGCCTCCCGCATCCCCCCAGTAGGCACCAAGTGCCAAGCATCAAAGCCGCCCTCCCGGCCCCTGAGCACTGGGCAATGGCAGCCGCCCCTTGTGAAGGTGGGGTGACCGCCTTGCTGAGGTGCTGGTGCCCGGCACACATGAACTCACCGCGTGACCATGGGGTACAGCGTGTGGTTGGGTCCGAAGCAGCTGAGGCTCCCGCGCCCACGCAGTCCTGTGCGGCCCATGGGGTTCCTGGGATGCAGAGGGGTTGAGTCAGTCCACCGTCCACCAATGGGGGAGCAGGACAGGGCAGGGAGGGGGACTGAGAGGGGACAGCGGGCGTCAGGAGCCGGCGCACAGCGGGACAGCATGCAGGCTTCTTTAGAGACCTGCTCTGGCCTAGGGAGTAGGATCCCTTTGGGACCCCCAAGGAGTGAGACCAAGGCTCTGGGTTAACTCGGGGTCACCTGGTGGGGGAAGGGTCTCCCTGGGAGCAGAAGTCCGGCCACTGCAGGCCAGCGAGGGGCTAAAGTGGCCACCTTCTCCCCACGGAGCATGGAACTGGCCGACTGCTCGGGCCAGCACTTTGCATCCAAAGGCCCCAGCACGCGAGAGCATGGCCTCCATCCTGGCAGCCTTCCGAGGGGCAGTGTGGGAACCAGGCCAGACACCCAGAGGCCCTGCGTCCGTGTGGCCACAGATGATAGGCCACACAGACCCCCAGCAGAGTGTGCTAACCACGGGCAGCAGGAGCCACAGACGCTTCCCATGGGGCCAGGCTGGTCTCCCTGACACCACCAGGTCCTATATGAAACAGCAAGTTCTAGAAACGGGCGATTTCCTGTGAATGTACCACTAAAACAGAAGGAAGAAATGCACTGCCGCTATCGTGCGGTGGGGGCGGCATCCACGTCTACAGAAGGTCCCCAGCAGCATCCCCGCCATAGTCCCCGACAGCATCCCTGCCACCGTCCCCGCCACCATCCCCGCCACCAGCGTTCCCAACACCAGTGTCCCCGCCACAGTCCCCGTCACCATCCCTGCCAGCGTCCCTGCCACAGTCCTCGCCACAGTCTCCGTCACCATCCCTGCCAGCGTCTCTGCCACAGTCCCCGCCAGCGTCCCCGCCACCGTCCCCACCACAGTCCCCACCACCATCCATGCCACAGTGGGGACAGTGGTATCGTTCCTCCACCATTCCACTCTGACCTCCAGACCCCATCAGAGCTGCAGCCTCTGACCCACCCCTCATGGCCTCCTCTCCCCACAGCCTAGACTCCATCCTCCTGAGTCTGCGCGGCAGTGCGTGGCTGCTCCAGGACAGCTGACCGTGGCTGCCCCAGGACAGCTGACCACCTCTAGCACCGGCGGCCACCAGCCAGGCCTGCGCTACCGTCCCTGACCCTGCCTGGCGGGGCAGCCTCCAGCTGGCCTCCCTGCCTCCACCCAGCCCCTCCTCTCTGTTACCCCTCAGCAGCCACCCTGTTCCCGCCCAGCTGTCAGGGGTCCCAGCTCTCGTCACACCTCTGCGCAGACCTGCCCGAGCCCACAGCGATCAGAGTCCGCACCAGAACATGCCCAGTGTGTAGGGCCCACCTGGCCAGGCCTCTCAGACAGCCCTCCCAGCTCACTCTGCGGTCTCCTCTGTGGCCGGGGGGCCTTGCACGGTGGGGCCCAGGCAGCCTCCCCAGAAGCTGCTCAGAAACCAGAGCCCCGGCCCCACCCAGCTACAGAGCTGGCAACACATGCAGCAAGGCTTGGGGACCTCAGCTCGAAGGCCGGGGCTCAGTCAGGGTTCCTGCGAGGGTCACTGCTGCCTCCCCTCAACCCCAAGCCCGTCTCTCACTCCCGTCCACCCCGCCCTTGCCAGCCACCATTCTCCTTCCTGCACTCACGCCACTGAGCGGGCAGAACCCAGAACCAAGGCCACGGACAAATTCGGCACTGGGCAGAGCTGCACTGAGCTCCAGAAGGAGAGGAAGGCAGAGGTCGTGCTGCTGGGAGCAAGGCTGCCTCGTCTCCCTGTAACTGCTGTTCGTGCTGAGTGCAGTGCATTGGTCAAGAAGCTCACAGAGGAGGCCACACGCTCTGCCTGGCATGAGTCCACCCCCACAGGAAGCTCTGGGCCCCAGGGCCCTGCTGTCATCTCACTGTCCCCATCCCTAGTCGGCCAGTGGCAGAGCCAGGAGGGAGGTTAGGGGCCTGCCAGCTCCTACCACATGCACGCTCGCTTCTGCCAGGAGGGAAACAAACACTCTGCACCCTTGCTTCTCAGTCAGCCTGAGCGGGCCGGGCAGCAGGGGCTTCGGACCACCATGCTGCCCTCCTCCCACCGCAGCCCCCACCCCACACCTGAGTCTTCAGCTGCTCTCACTGTGCCCTGATCTCTGATCCCCCGGTCATGATCTCGTCCATATGGTTCTCAACCCCTCATCTCCCTGCCACGTGCCCGGTAGTTCCATCACGACATCAAGGCATAGGCCCGTCCATAAACCTACGCACACAACCCCAAAGCGCAAAAACAGCGACAGTCTGGCTACAGCAATCACACGTTCATTCACTCATCCACTCAGCTCCAGAAATGCAGGTGGGTTGAGGGGTGGAGAGCTGGCCTATGGGTTGAACAAGGCAGAATCTTTGCTGACCTGACCTCAATCCATCTCAGAAAGAGGGGGCAAGCAAAGCCCAAGTGGAGTGGATTCGAAAGAGGAAGGGACTTGCGGGCAGGGGCTTGTTTAGTTTATGTTGGCAGGAGCAATGCAAGAGGGCAGGAGGACCCGGGTGCAGGAGGAGCAGGACATTCCCGGGATGAGGTCCTTGAAAGGCAATGGGAGATGGGTCTAGCACAAAGATGCACTGGGGTGAACAATGCCCACAAATGTATGTCCTTCCCAGAACCTCAGAATCTGGCCTTGTTCAGAAATAGTGTCTGCAGGTGTAATTAGTTAAGATGAAGCTACACTGGAATAGGGTTGGCCCTAAACCCAGTACGATTTATAATCCTAAGAACAGAAGAGACACAGACACGTGCAGGGAGAGGCCATGTGGCTAGGGAGGCAGAGATCACAAGCCAAGGAACACGAAGGGCTGCCAGGAACACCAGGAGCTGGAGAGGCAGGAAGAGGTCTCCCCTCAAGCCCTCAGAGGGAGTGTGGTCCTTGATTTCAGACTCCTGGCCCTCAGAACTGTGAGATAATCCATTTCTGTTAAGCCCCCCAGTTTGTGGTACTTAGTTACAACAGCCATAGAAAACTAATACAGTGAGGGGGCTGGCCCCAGACAGACGTGGGGACAGTCACTCCTATACCAGAAAGGGCATCTGAGTGTGTGAATGACTTGAGTCAGACAAGCTCACACAGGCTGCTGTTGTGAATGGGCCAAGAGGGTTAGGGTTAAGGTTAGGGGTTAGGATTAGGGTTAGGGTTAAGGTTAGGGGTTAGGTGTTAGTTTAGGGTTACAGCCAAACAGCTGCAACAACCCAGGGTAGAGACGGGCCACGGAGGACATTTCAATTTCAAGAATCAGCGTGTTGCCAATCCCGCTCCAACAAAAATGCAATAAAACTAGAAGGTGATAACAAAGAATGGCTTAAAAACTATAAGCACATGACCAGGCATAGTGGCTCACGCCCGTAATCCTAGCACATTGGGAGGCCAAGGCGGGCGGATCACGAGGTCAGGAGTTCAAGACCAGGCTGACCATCATGGTGAAACCCCATCTCTACTAAAAATACAAAAGGAATTAGCTGGCATGGTGGTGCGTGCCTGTAATTCCAGTGACTTGGGAGGCTGAGGTAGGAGAATTGCTTGAACTGGGACCCAGTAGGCGGAGGTTGCAGTGAGCCAAGATCGCACCACTGCACTCCATCCTGGGGTACAGAGCAAGACTCCATCTCAAGATAAAAAAAGCTAAAAGTACATCACTAAACAATCAAATGAAGACTATGCTGGGCGTGGTGGCTCACATCTGTAATCCCAGCACTTGAGGAGGCAGAGGCAGGAGGATAGCTTGAGCCCAGGAGCTTAAGATCTGCCTGGGCAATAGAGCAAGACCTCATTCTCCACAAAAAGAAAAAAAAAAAAGAGCAAAACAAAAGTGTAAAATGAAGATTATAATGAAATTCATAAAGTAAAAAATAAAATCCCTACACATCAAAATTTAAGGGTTACAGCCTACCAGGTCTTAGAGAGAATTTACAGTCTTAGGTACCCTTATTAGAAAACCAGGAAAGTTGAATAAAAATGAGCTCTAACACACAAATCAAGAGCAAATCCATAAGAAGTAGAAAGGAAGGAAAGATAACAATAAAAGCAAAAATGGATGAGATCGAAAAATTAAGATAATCAACAAATCCAAAAGTTAGTTTTTTGAAAAGATTATAAAATTAAGCCACTGGCAAGAATAATCAAAAAAAAAAAGAAGAGAAATACATAATAAATATCAATGCTCAAAAGAGAAATTACTATATATTTATATTATTTTTTAAATCATAAAAGAATATTATGGACATCTGTGACACAATACATTTCAAAAGTTAGATGAAATTATAATTTTCCAGAAAATTTACAATTACTAAAAAGGACCCAAGAAGAAACAGGAAATAAGATTCGAAAAATCATTATGGAAGATAAAGTAGTTAGAAATCCACTTGCTCGGCCGGGCGCGGTGGCTCACGCCTGTAATCCCAGCACTTTGGGAGGCCGAGGCGGGTGGATCATGAGGTCAGAAGATCGAGACCATCCTGGCTAACAAGGTGAAACCCCGTCTCTACTAAAAATACAAAAAATTAGCCGGGCGCGGTGGCGGGCGCCTGTAGTCCCAGCTACTCGGGAGGCTGAGGCAGGAGAATGGCGTGAACCCGGGAAGCGGAGCTTGCAGTGAGCCGAGATTGCGCCACTGCAGTCCGCAGTCTGGCCTGGGCGACAGAGCGAGACTCCGTCTCAAAAAAAAAAAAAAAAAAAAAAAGAAATCCACTTGCTCAAAATATGTTAGAGCTAACAGTTATATAGCTAAGTATTATCAGACTTTAAGAAACAAATAATTATCTCCACCTCATACAAACATTCTCTTCTTTGTAAAGAAGAGAAAAGAAGGAAAGCTGACCAGCTCATTCATTGAGACTGGTATAACCTCATACCAAAACCAAAGTAAGACAGTACAAGAAATATAAATTATAGGCAAATTCCACTTTTGAACACAGATTTTTTAAAATCTTAAGTAAAATGTTAGTAAATTAACTCCAGCAGTACGTTAAATATAACAGAAGAGTTTATTCCAGGAATGCAAGGATGGCTCAACACTAAAGGAGCTATAAAAATAATTCACACACTAATTGGCTAAAGGGGAAACATCTTATAACTATCTCAATCAATGGCAGAAAAACCATTTAGTAGCATTCAGCCCCTGACAAATTGGGACTAGATAGAAACATTCCTAATCCAATAAAAGGTATTTATAAATTTCTTCAGTAAATACCATACTTAATGGTGAAATGTTGATAGCATTTCCATTAAGTCAGAAACAAGGAAGCCTGTTAATATTACCAATATTCTAAATTACACTGAAGAATTTACCCAGCACAATAAGGCAAGAAAAAGGAATGAGGCATGATTATTGTAAGGAGAAAGACAATATTGTTATTTGCAGAATATATATTATTTACATAGAAAATCTACAAACACATTTATATAATTAACGAGAAGGTTTAATAAAGTTGTTAGATACAAAGTCAGCAAACAAAATTAATAATGCCCCTATATATATTTTTAAAAATTGAAAATATAAAAAAATGTTATACACCAGGCATGGTGGCTCATGTCTGTAATCCCAGCACTCTGGGAGGCTGAGGCGAGTGGATCACCTGAGGTCAGGAATTCAAGACCAGCCTGGCCAACATGGTGAAACCCCATCTCTACTAAAAATACAAAATTAGCTGGGCATGGTGGTGGATGCCTGTAATTCCAACTACTCAGGAGGCTGAGGCAGGAGAATTGCTTGAACCCAGGAGGCAGAGGTTGTAGTGAGCCAAGATCACCCCATTGCACTCCAGCCTGGGCAACAAAAGTGAAATTCCATCTCAAAAAAAAAAAAAAAAAAAAAAAAAAGAAAAAGAAAAAAATGTTATAATTACCCCAAATAACAAAAGTTATCAAATACCTGAGGAATAAATATTATTTAAAAATGTAAGATCTTTATGAACAAAATTATAAAACTTTAGGGAAGGACAAAGAGAAGACATAAATAAATGTTGACAAATACAGTCATAGAAGACTCATTATCATAAAAGTGTCCATTGTCTCAAATTTTTCTATAAATTTAATACAATTCTTATCAATGGATTTGTCATGGAGCTAGAAAAACTGGCTTTTAAACTCACAAAAAAGCTAAAGGCTCAAGACTAGAAAAGGCAGGTTTAAAGACATGCTATCCCAGAGTCAGGATTACTGCAACGCTGTGGCAAATAGTGGCATGATCTGCTATGAGATGACTGGGACAGAGGCATACAGAGCTTTGAAAGAGGAGCCACACCTCAGGGGAGGAGCCAGACGTAAGGGGAGGAGCCACACCTCAGGGAGGAGCCAGACCTCAGGGAAGGAGCCACACCTCAGGGAGGAGCCACACCTCAGGGAAGAGCCACACCTAAGGGGAGGAGCCACACCTCAGGGAGGAGCCACATCTCAGGGGAGGAGCCACACCTCAGGGAGGAGCCAGACCTAAGGGGAGGAGCCACACCTCAGGGAGGAGCCACACCTCAGGGGAGGGGCCAGACCTAAGGGGAGGAGCCACACCTAAGGGGAGGAGTCACACCTCAGGGAGGAGCCACACCTAAGGGGAGGAGTCACACCTCAGGGAGGAGCCACACCTCAGGGAGGAGCCACACCTCAGGGGAGGAGCCACACCTCAGGGAGGAGCCACACGTCAGGGGAGGGGCCAGACCTAAGGGGAGGAGCCACACCTAAGGGGAGGAGCCACACCTAAGGGGAGGAGCCACACCTCAGGGAGGAGCCACACCTCAGGGGAGGGGCCAGATCTTAGCAGGAAATGAAGTCAGGCAGCTCACTTTCTCTGTGAATTCACAAAATAAATCAGGCCCCTCCTCACACCTTATACAATCAGCCTTCAGCTGTATTAAAGTCTCAGTGAAAAAAACTAATTTTAAAATGTATCAAATGAATATAGGAAGGTGTGTCTTTATAATTTCATAGAAAGAGAACACACCTAAGGAAATATAATGAAAATATGATTCGCAAGTCCACAACAGAAGCATGGTGCATACAGAAAGTGCTCTTCTGCACTACTAAAGCCCGCATGGACACCACGTCCTGCCAAGTCCTGACACACCTGCCTGTGTGGCAGCCACCCGTGAGAGCAGGTGCTCACGCCTTGTTGCCCATGCCAGGCACCTGCTGCTCTCCTCGTCAGCTTCCCATAGCCACCGGATGCACCTCCCTAAACACCCGCCCTTGCCCGTCCCACATACCCCCAACACCAGAGCGGGCCGCCTGCAGCTGCAGCCACCTGGCCAGGACCTCTGCTCTCAGGCCCCATCGCCTCCTACCACCTCCTTACTCAACCTCCGGCTCCAGGCAGAGGAGCCCACACCCTGTTCCAGAGCATTCTGCAAAGGCCTGCCACGCAGTCCCCCCGTCCTTCAGACCCTTTGGTTCCTCTGCTCCATGGTTCATGCCCCACATCCCGGCAACCCCCCAGTCCCAGGTTCTGGTGGCCCCTCCTCCACCTCCTCCTCATGGCAGGGTCCAAGACTCCCAGGCTCCTTCCTTCCAGGGCACTTGTAGGTGCTCACAGGACACTTGACACCTTTATTTTGGGTTTCCTCACCTGTGTGATGGGTGCAGCGCCGATCCTGTGGGGAACAGGATGCCAGGCGAGGCCACCTTCCCGGCCAGGTAAGCCTGCCAGTGCCCATCTCCGTGTCCCCTCCCTGCCGCACAGCCCCTGCCCATCCTCTGAGGCATCGTCCTCTCCCAGCACAGCCATCCCCACGTACACAGACAAATCCACGTCCCCAGATTACGGCAGGGACCATGGGGCAGGGCCTGCCCGAGGCCAGGGGGCAAGTCCCACGCCCCCAAGCCCAGTCCTGGGGGCTACGGAGATGCAGTGAGTTGATGTTTTCTTCCTTTCGGTGGCTCACGTGCTTTTTTTGATTTTGTTTTATGAGAAAAATGCTTCCTTTGCCCAGAGAGGAAACCTGCCCCCCAGGCAAACCCCAAAGGCTGACGGGGCGGGGCCCGCAGGGGGCACACTCACAGGGGCAACCCGGCCTGCACTGTGTACGGCCCGTGGAAGCTCCGGCGGTCCCTCAGGCCATCCACCACGTTGTACTGGATCGTGGACAGTGGCTCCAGGGTGCTGGGAGCAGAGGAGAAGGCGTGTCTGTGTGCCCGTGTTGCAGGTGGGACAGAGCAGACAGGCAGAGGGATCACCCCCCCACCAAGGGCCCAGCCGAGTAGCTGCAGGCTGGGTGTACACAACAGTAGGAGCTGGGCCCCTTCAGGCCCCCACGGGCCCCTCCTGCTCACCTGGACCTCCCCGGGCTGGGCTCTGACTGGGATTCTCAAGGGAGCCCCTAGGAGGCCCTGGGTTTGGGGCCAGCTGGGAGCACGGACAGCGGCTCATACTCACTCTCCCATGGGGTCCATGGCGGCCGCGTCCTTCCTCTCTGCCGTGTAAAAGGGTGGGTCATAGATCAGGAACTCCGTCTGTCGCAAAACAGGGAGTTTTCCCTCAGATTTTTACCCCCACTGCAAAGCTGGGCCAGGCACCAGGGTGAAAGGGCTGCTCAGCTGGGTCTGAACCCGACCCCAACATCCCAACATGCAGGGCAGAAGCTCCAAGCTGGGCAGATCCGGGTGCCAGGCAGAGCTGGGGGCTGGGCAGGGCCGGGGGCTGGGATCAGGGACCCCCACCCTGGGGCCAGCTGAAGGGCAGGTGGCCGTGACTTGGGGGCCTTGGGGGTCTTCCCAGAGTGGGGCAGGGGGCTAAGCTGGACCCTAGAGGCAAGGAGGATTCTATGTGGTAGAGACCAAGGGGAGGCAGCGGAAGCAGCAGCCTGGAATGTTCTGGATAGGCCAGAGAGAAGCCCTGCACCAGGAGGGCGGGGGTCTCCCAGGGGCCATTAGCCATCTCTCTGTCTCTGTGTCTCTGTCTCTCTTCCATGCCTGGCACCTGGAAAGGGGCCAGAGCCATTCACCGGGGTGGGTGGGGTCTAGGACCAGGGCATGACCTGGGGGAATGGGGCCGGGGGGCTGGGCCCTGGGATGGTCATGGGAGGAGCCTAAGCCTCGAGCTCTGTGGGGATCAGTGTGCCCCCCTCAGGCCCCTCCACCACCTCCAGCTGTGAGGCCCCTGTGACTTGACTTCTCTGTGCCTCGGTTTCCTCAAATGTCAAACAGGGGCTGCCAGACGCACAGATCCCCCTGTGGCTGCAGTGGCTGGGAGCCAGGATTAATACCAGATGGATGGGGACAGGGCCGCCCTCCCCTCCCCAGGGGCCCGGCCACTCCGCCTGGTTGGGCTTGGGCAGGCGCTCACCTCCCAGGGCACCTTCTCGTTGGGCACGGGGAAGCGCGTGACAGGGCAGTTGGGGTAGAGGAGGTGCCGGGCATTCACGTGGTAGCTGTCGCCCGGCTCCTCCGTCTTCTTCCTGCCTCCCGGCTCAGCATCCGGCTCCTCCGCGGCCTTCTGGGAGGCTGGGGACAGTCAGGAAGACGTGACGCAAGGCGGAGCCCGGGCTCAGGTGCCCGCCCGCAGGACAAGGACTTCCTCTGTGGTCCTTCCGCCAAAACATCTGGGCTCCTCCACCTCCCCGAGCCCAAATGGCCATGCAGGTCGAACACCAGCTCTGAAGTGGGCAGGGCCCCCAGGGAGGACAGCCACGGGAGCTCAGGCAGCGTCCCCGCCGGCACCTGCCTCTTTGTGCAGCGGCAGTCAGGGCCCTCGGCAATGAGCTGAACTCGCAGTGCGGTTACGAGGGCAAATATGCTCCTTGAGGGCCGGCGAAACTCAGCAGCCCGAGGAAGGCTACTGATGTGCATTTCATAGCCGGCTGCGAATTTAGGAAAACAGACTTTGCTTCTCGTCACTCAGCCTACGTGACCAGGTTCAGACACAGTCTGCAGCCGCCCGCCTCGCACCCCCACTCTGCAGTGCGGTATGTGGGGAGCTCAGGGCACAGCAGGCCAGGCCTCCCCGTGGACGTCCAGGAACCAGGTCAGGTCAGGGATTGGGCGGGGCCTCGGCGCCAGCGTCGGTGGGTGGGCTGAGTTCCTGAGGGCGCTGGCCCTGCCTGGAACAGGCTGCAGCCAGTGCCTTCCTCCTGGACAGAGCCCCCCACCCCCAGCTGCCTCTCCTCCCAACTGACCCCAGACCCAAAAGAAACAGGCGGCTGGAGACCAGCTGCTGGCCTGGCCACCCACTCACCCAGAGTGGGGACGTCCGCCTCCGAGCTGAAGCCGCTGGCCCGCAGCGTCCTCACGATCCAGTGCAGGGCTTGGGCTGTCTGGGCCACCTGGAAGGCATGGCCCGAGACACAGTGAGCACCTGCCACCCACACGCATGGTACACACCCCACTGCCCACCGAGACTTCACTCCCCCAGCCAGGAGCCCCACCCCTGTCACTCAGCCCCTGCGCCCTTTGAAAGTGAGACACCACGTCCTCCCCAGGCAGCCACCAAGCCAGCCAGAACGCTGCCCCAGGCCCACCCGGCTCCCCCCGGGGGCTGCCAAGTCACACATCTGATGGTGCAGCCTCCCCAAGAGACACAACAGTGGGACTGTCACTGCACTGGACAAGCCAGAGGATGGAGCCAGCATGAAGGCACAGTCAGGCAATTCTGCACCACAGGGAGAGGTCACAGGCCGCCAAAGCCAGAGGCTTCCAGGGTTCCTGCACCTCCCAGGAGGAGCCTCCCCAGAGGCTGATGCGCCTCCCACAGGGGACAGTGGGACATGTCTCACTCGTGTGGCTCAGTGCTGGGCACCCTGTCAGGGGTCCCAGCATGGCCAAGACAGGGGTAGAGGGCGGCCTGGGCAGACCCCTGGGTGCAACGGGCAGGACTGGTGGATGGTGGATGCCCCAGCAGCACAGGTCCCAGCCCTGCCCCACAGAGCAAGGCTGGGAGCAGCAGCACAGGGTGGCTGAGCCATCCACAGGGCTCAGCACTGCCCGCAGGGGCTGCCGTGGCCGCAGGTGCTGTTGTTGGACAGCACAGCCCGGCCCAGCTGGTGGACGTTGATGGGGTGGTGGGAGCAGACCCTGAGAGGCCGTCTCTAAGTCCTCCCCACCTCGGTCTTGCGGCCTCTCCAGGGCTCAGGCACAGAGTCCCACAGCCTCCCTGGAGGCCGGGAGGGGAGAAGCACTCTGTTTCCTGGGAGCAGCGAGGAGCACAGCCCGGCCGTGGAGGCCTCAGTGCACACAGAAGGAACTCAGTCACAGAAACCCTTGGGCGGGGTTTTCTGGAGGACACACAGGGTGCCTCTTCCAGCTGGGAATGGCTGCCCCAACGTTCCGGCCTCCTCCTCACCATCACTCCTCAGAGCCCTCCTTCTTGGTGCCACCACATGGCAGAGCCGCCCACCAGGCCCAGCAGTGGCACCTCCTGACGGAGGCCCCGACCTCGGACCCACCTGCTCCTCCAGGGAGGCCAACCTCTGCTCCATGGAGCCCGACCTCTTCAGTGGGTCCAGGTCCAGCAGGTCCACCATGGCGTCAACCCTGAAAGAGGAAGCAGCTGAGCTGGACGCACACCACACCTTGGGGCCCTGGGAACGCCACACCGCTCTGCAGACAGCCCTGCCAGATGCAGCCACCAAGGCCCTGTGTCAGCCTTTGCTTCCTCTTAATATGAAACTATTTCTAACATGCATTTCTCCCATAGAACCAAACTGCCCAGGGCCCCAGAGGGGAAGATGTCTCAGCAGACGGACAGCCGAGGCTCACATGGCAAGCTCTGGCAGCCTGTCGGTCCCAGGAGAGAGGGGGAGGTGAGTGAACTGAGGGAGGGCCAGGTGACAGGTCACAAACAATGAAACTTCCTCTGGGCACAGCAGAGGTTGGTTTTGTTTTGGGGGTGATGTGGCGCGGCACTGTTGCTTGGGGAATATTTGGTTTTTGTCTTATTTTGTGGGGGTCGTGGAGCAGTGCTGCTGTTCTAAGGATGTTTGGTGTCTGTCGTATTTTGTGGGGGTTGTGGAGCAGTGCTGTTTTTCTGGGAGTTATTTGGCTTCTGTCTTATTTTGTGGGGTTGTAGAGCGGCGCTATTATTCTGGAAATGTTTGGTTTCTGTCTTATTTTGTGGGGGTCGTGGAGCAGTGCTGCTGTTCTAAGGATGTTTGGTGTCTGTCGTATTTTGTGGGGGTTGTGGAGCAGCGCTGTTTTTCTGGGAGTATTTGGCTTCTGTCTTATTTTGTGGGGTTGTAGAGCGGCGCTATTATTCTGGAAATGTTTGGTTTCTGTCTTATTTTGTGGGGGTCGTGGAGCAGTGCTGCTGTTCTAAGGATGTTTGGTGTCTGTCGTATTTTGTGGGGGTTGTGGAGCAGCGCTGTTTTTCTGGGAGTATTTGGCTTCTGTCTTATTTTGTGGGGTTGTAGAGCGGCGCTATTATTCTGGAAATGTTTGGTTTCTGTCTTATTTTGCTTCGCCCAGCCTCGGCCTGCTGTGTTTATGGTTAAAATAACTCTGTGGGCAAACCCGAGTCTCCAGCTCTCATCCGCTGTCCCCTGGGCTCCCTCACTTCCTTTCATCCACAGCGCCCACTGCAAGTGATATTCTTATAATACACTGAGCAACTATTTTAGTAACACAGAAACTTTCTGGGGATATGACCCACTTTAAACAGTTATCTAGGGAGAGGGAAGAAAGTGATTTCGCTCCAGGCCTGGGCATCTCCTTTCACCCACATTTCATTTTGCTTAATCCCACAAAAGCCGCTTAACCGCACCTGCCATGTTTTCCCAGACAGCCTTGCAAACATGCGAGGGTGGTTACTGGAGCCTTCTCGGACCCGCGTGATTCCACCACCGTGAGATGCAGGAACTGTCTAGATTTGCAGACAGAGCTTGTCCTTGACCCCCAAAGCTCCAGCCCTGCCCTGTGGGCGAGGAGCTTTGGTGAACTCAGCTCACCTCAGTGCTGCAAGGTTATGGCACCCCACACTCATGCGCCTCCCAGGTGCCCAGCTTCTTCACTGGAGGAGGGGACGGTGACCAGGCTAGGGCCCTTGGTACGGGCTGAGGAGCTCTTTCCTCACTTTCCCTGGAGCCCGTGTTCTGCAAGATCAGGTCGACTGAAGCACATCAGCTTCTGTCCCAGGCCCCTCTGCGGATGAGCAAGAGCTGCTGACCAATGGGAGTGACAGCTCAGCACACCAGCCAGCGGCCCAGCGGAAACACGTTCTGCAGGCTCATCTTGGGAAAACTTCTACTCACATACAAATATGCATTAGAGTCAGGGTCTCACCCTGTCACCCAGGCTGCAGTGCAGTGGCACCATCATGGCGCACTGCAGCCTCGAACCCCTGGCCTCAGCCTCCTGAGCAGCTGGGACTCTGACCCCATGTGCACCACCACACCTGGCTACTCTTTCCTTTTTTGTTGTTGTTTTTTTATTTTTTGTAGAGATGGGGTCTCACTATGTTACCCAGGCTGGTCTCAAACTTTTGGCCTCAAGAAATCCTCCTGCTGTGGCCTCCTTAGTAGCTGGGATCACAGGCATGAGCCACCGTGCCTGGCTAATTGTTATTTTTATTTTTTGTAGAGATGGGGGTCTCACTATGTTGCCTAGGTTGGTCTTGAACTCCTGGGCTCGAGCAATCCTCCCACCTCAGCCTCCCAAAATGTTGGGATTACAAGCATGAGCCACTGTGCCTGGCCTGCAAAGTTATATTTTAGTTAAGCTTTTTCAACCTCAGAAAATAACTGGAGGCGCCCAACTTCCACTGAGCACCTAGGCTGGGAAATAGGCAGCAGACCAGCTCTGAGCTTTAAGATGTCTGGGATAGGGCAGGAGCTGAGAGGCATTTGGGACTAAATTTTTTTTTTTTTTAGGTGGAGTCTTGCTCTGTCGCCCAGGCTGGAGTGCAGCAGCGCGATCTCAGCTCACTGCAACCTCCGCCTCCTGGGTTCAAGCGATTCTCCTGCCTCAGCCTCCCAAGTAGCTGGGATTACAAGCGCACGCCACCACACCCGGCTAATTTTTGTATTTTTAGTAGAGATGAGGTTTCACCATGTTAGCCAGGATAGTCTTGATCTCCTAACCTTGTGATCCACCCACCTTGGCCTCCCAAAGTGCTGAGATTACAGGCGTGAGCCACCGCGCCCGGCCTGGGACTGATTCATTTGGGGTCCAGCCCACTCCCTTAAGGCAGGAGGCTGCAAAGTTGCTGGGGCCTGCATTCCAGGCCACACCGCTGGCCAGTGGTGGAAGCTGAGCCACCTCTCTCACTTTCCTGGGCCTCCACTTCCTCATGGGTAAAAGTGGAAGGAAAAATACCTCCCTCTGCAAAAGGGTTGAGCGAGATGATGCAGGTGAAGGGTGTGGTCCTCAATGAGCCCTTAACACATGCCAGCCATCATATTCCAGCCCTGACTATGTTGGTCATCAGCAGAGCTGTGGCCTTCCAGCTTCATCCTGACATGCGGAGGCCGCCTTTCAGAAACTCTCCCAAGCACCTTCCCCCAGCATCTGGGCCCTGGGCATGGCCACTGCTCAAAGTCCCAGACGAGGCCATCCATCAAAGCTGTACTTGGCAACAGCAAGTAAGAGAAGGTTGTCAGGGCACTGCATGGCCCCAGGCCCCCCTCCTCTGTAAGTGGACCATCAGAGCCAAACGTCAGGGCTGAGCAGGCCTGGAGACCAGCGACCCCAGCCTCCTGCAACCCTGCCAGGCCAGGAACTAACAGCAGTTCCAGAATTGCATAGGATTTCCTCAGTGCCTTCTAGGCACTGGGCCTGCTCTACATCCCAGGATACTATGGGGAACATGTGGGACTCTGTCCCTACTCTCACATGGAGCCTGGCAGTTAGACATGACACAACCCACAAACCCACCAGCCAACCAACCAACATCCAGATTCCAGAACGACAGGGGATGGGGACAGGGTGGGTGGAGGGCAGGAAAGGCCCTCCAATGAAGTGAGGCTTGAATAGAGAGAGACAGCAAGTCCTGACTCTCTCTGGGAGAAGACTGTTCTAGGCAAAGAGCATGCCAAGGGCTCAACTGGAAGTCATCATGCCCAGACTCAAGCAAACAGGACACGTGTATCTAGTTCACTCAGAATGGGAGCTAGAAGGGGCTTTGACATCAGCTAGTTCATTAAGGTCCTCACATTGTCACCATCGTCATTACTATTGCCATCATAATCACCATCATCACTATCATCACCACCACCACATCCACCATCGTCACCACCACCAGCACCAGCACCACCACTACCATCACTACCACCACTGTCACCATCACCATTACCATCCACCACCACCACCATCACCGCTACCACCATTACCACCATCAGAAGCACCATCACCACCATCACCACCACCACCACTGCCAACATCACCATCAACATCACCACCACTACCATCACCACCACCACCACCACCACTGCCATCATCACCATCAACATCACCACCACTACCATCACCACCACCATCACCACCACTTCCATTACAGCCATCAGAATCACCATCATCATCACCATCACTACCACCATCACCAACACCACCACCATCACAATCACCACCACATCACCATCATCACCAACATCACCACTACCACCACTACCATCACCACCACCACCATCACCATCGCAGCCACCATCATCACCATCACCACCACCGCCCCCACTACTCATAAGTAAGGGTGATGATAAAAGCACCAGCCACGTTAGCAGATCCCTGGTTATAGTTCCAGCATATGTGCTCAATTCTTTACAGTCAGGACCCCACTGTATTCTGGAAACAACTCCAAGAGACAGGGACTATCGTGTCTCCATCTTACAGACAAGGTGAGGGAGGTATGGAAAGGCAGGAGTACATACATGTCTCTAAGGGGGAGGGCACTTGGCCTGGTCTTGGCCATCCCTTGCCAGCTCCAGGATGCTCCTGTTTGTGGCTGCAGGAGCCTCCACACGGCCATAACTAGGTGGCACCGTGTCCATTTCCCCCTCCTCCTCTCATGCCATGGTGAGACGCACACTGAGAGCAGGACACTGGGGGCAGCCCTTCCTGCTGCCCGCTGCTGGGCCATTAGGCCCTGCTGACACCTAGCAGGGCGGAAGGCCTGGCAGTGGAGAGAAGGGAGCAGATGTTCCCCCAACACTGACCTCGCACCTTGGAAAGAAGCAAGATGGGAGGAGCTGAGAGGGAGGACGGTGCTGAGCATGGCTGACCCCGAGGGCTGGGCTGCCGAGGTCCTGCAGAAGCTATAATAAGGCTGTGCACCAACAAGCTCACAGAGCAAACCACCCCCAAACCAGCCTGGACCCCGTGTGCACATGCCCCCAGGCCTCCAAGCCGGATCCTGCGGGCCAACCTGCCCCTCCCCCAGCCGCCAAGGCTTCCCTCCCAGCCTCTGACCCTGCGCCCTGTGGGGCCCAGCCTTCCTAAGGACCGCAGAGGGTCCTGGGTCAGCTGTGGGCACAGGCCCGGATGCCTGCAGCATTGCAGGGGCCACGGGATACAGCGCTCCCTCACCGGTGAGGCATTGCTGGGCCTCCCCAGGTGGGACATGTACTCATGGTGCCTGTGGACCTGCAGGAGGTCCCCCAGAGGCTTCCCGCCCCCAGGCCCACCGGAGCCCCCATACTTATTGCTGATGTCCTCGATCTTCTGCTCGGGCCGCTGCTTTTGCTGGAACTGTCGGTTCTGGAGGTAGTTCTCCTTCAGGTAGATCTCCCAGGATAGCAGGGCCGCCTCCTCGTTCTTCTCCAGCTTGTTCTCTGTCAGGGTGGGCGGACAGACCAGGGGACCTGGAATCCTCAGGAGGTGGGCCCTGAAGCCCTGACCCACCGGGGGGGCCCCGTGGGAGGGGGCCAGTCCTGAGTGGCAGGAAGAGCCCATCGCACACCTGCCCCCAAGGGGGCCTCTGGGCTCAGCCCCCACCACTTGCTCAAGGCCAGCAGAAGGCCAGCAGCCTGAGTGACCTGCACGCCTGCTGAGCGTCCAGGGTTCTGGGCAGAGCTGCCATGCCATCTCCACCCCCTCTGCACCCGGGTGGCCAGGACATTCAGGAGAGGCACTGGGGCTGGCATACTGAGCTGCTTGTGCCTCTTGGCCGGAGTCTTCAGGACCACCCTCTTGATGAAGAGCTGCAGGTGGCTGAGGAGGATGAAGGGGGGCGGCGCGGCGGGGCGGCCGTGGTACTCCTCGATCAGGTCATGGCGCTGGAACTTCCAAATCTGGTCCGTGTGCTCCTGCACCTGCTGGAAGGTGTAGCTGTCAGGGAGGAGAAAGCAACACCTCGAGGTCAGGGTGTTTACCCAGAACAGACCCCTCTCACCGCCTGCGTGCCCACTGTGATGCCACAGAGAGCAGAGCCACGCCCACATGCCCACTGTGATGCCACAGAGAGCAGAGCCACACCCACATGCCCACTGTGATGTCACAGAGAGCAGAGCCACGCCCACGTGCCCACTGTGATGCCACAGAGAGCAGAGCCACGCCCACGTGCCCACTGTGATGCCACAGAGAGCAGAGCCACGCCCACGTGCCCACTGTGATGCCAGAGAGCAGAGCCACGCCCACGTGCCCACTGTGATGCCACAGAGAGCAGAGCCACGCCCACGTGCCCACTGTGATGCCAGAGAGCAGAGCCATGCCCACGTGCCCACTATGATGCCACAGAGAGCAGAGCCACGCCCACGTGCCCACTGTGATGCCAGAGAGCAGAGCCACGCCCACGTGCACACTGTGATGCCAGAGAGCAGAGCCACGCCCACGTGCCCACTGTGATGCCACAGAGAGCAGAGCCACGCCCACGTGCCCACTGTGATGCCAGAGAGCAGAGCCACGCCCACGTGCCCACTGTGATGCCAGAGAGCAGAGCCACGCCCTTGTGCCCACTGTGATGCCAGAGAGCAGAGCCACGCCCACATGCACACTGTGATGCCACAGAGAGCAGAGCCACGCCCTTGTGCCCACTGTGATGCCAGAGAGCAGAGCCACGCCCACGTGCCCACTGTGATGCCACAGATAGCAGAGCCACGCCCACGTGCCCACTGTGATGCCAGAGAGCAGAGCCATGCCCACATGCCCACTGTGATGCCACAGAGAGCAGAGCCATGCCCACGTGCCCACTGTGATGCCACAGAGAGCAGAGCCATGCCCACGTGCCCACTGTGATGCCAGAGAGCAGAGCCATGCCCACGTGCACACTGTGATGCCACAGAGAGCAGAGCCACGCCCACGTGCCCACTGTGATGCCAGAGAGCAGAGCCACGCCCACGTGCACACTGTGATGCCACAGAGAGCAGAGCCACACCCACGTGCCCACTGTGATGCCACAGAGAGCAGAGCCATGCCCACGTGCCCACTGTGATGCCAGAGAGCAGAGCCATGCCCACGTGCCCACTGTGATGCCACAGAGAGCAGAGCCATGCCCACGTGCCCACTGTGATGCCACAGAGAGCAGAGCCACGCCACACGGGAGGCCAGCTCCAGGCACAGAACTCAGCCCACAGACCTCACAATTCCAGGCTTCCTGGGAACCAAAGCAAGAAAAAAGGAGAAGCACACAGACTTTCGATATTATAAGCCTCACTGGCTAATAACACGAAGTGGGTGTTTATCAGGAGACAGACACTGTCTGGCACTGAACTCTAGGACCTGATCTGTGGATTCTGACGAGCACAAGAGCCAGACCCTCCAGGGGTGCATGTGGAAGGGGCAGGGCTGCAGGGGCCTCCTTGGTGTGTCTCAGGGTGACAGGCACAGAGCCCTCCGCAGTGGGAGCCGGAAGTGTGGGTGCCATACTTGCTGCAGGGACAGTGTCCTGCCACCAGCCCCTTGGCCTCGAGATGACAGTCCTGGCCCATGCTCGGGTTCTCTCAATGTTCAGAACCCACGTTCTGAAAGGTGGCAACCTCAGCAACTTAGCCAATGAAACAAGAAGAGAAACGGTTGGTTCCTAACAAAACCAGGAACACAAGGATTTTCAGAGTCCTGGGTAGCACAGGGTCTGTCTGCAGATGCTGGGAAGGGCTCTGAGGGCCTGGGAGGCTTTCTGAATTATGGGGGCAACGTGGGGAGACTGGGCTTTCTGTGGACCATGACAGCTCCGCAGCCGTGCTGGGCTCCTCAGCTCCACTGTCAGGGCTAGGAATTGGCCACAGAACCCCCAGAGCCAACCCTGGGGCCCACTAGGACCCCAAACACCTGTGTTTTCATTCTGCGTGGCCTCCTGGTTCCCTGGAGTTCTTTTTTATGCTGCCTCTGGTGTGAGGTCCTCAGCATTTAATTTGTTCTAAGTTTAAAAGCTGCAAGAGCAAAACAGAACCCCCAAAGCCTGGGGCCCACAGCTGCTGCGGCTGATCAGAGATACGACCCCAGAGGACCACGTCCACCAGGGGCCGGATGGACAGCCACCTATTTTGTACTCCTTGTTTCAAAAGCAACAATAGCAAATAACATTCCAAAAGTTCTATGATAAGACTTCAAGACACTAGGATTTAAAGAAAATCCTAGACATTTTCAAAGAGAAGAAACAGCTACTGCATGGGTCTCCTGATGCTGCTGTAGTGAACCGCCACGGCCTTGGCAGCTTAAAGCAATCAGACTCTTCTCTCAGTCCTGGAGGTCAGGAGTCTCACTGGGCTAAAACCAAGGTTCGGCAGGGCTGTGCTCCTCCCGTAGGTCGGGAGCCTCCATGCCTTGCCTTTCCTGCCTTCCAGAGGCTGCCTGCATTCCTGGGCTGAGGCTCTCCCCTCCCGCCGACGCTCACTGCCACCGTCACATTCCTTCTCCGCCTCCCTCTTCCACGGCCCCTCATGATGATGTCGGGCCCATGCAGATAACCCCAGATAATTTCCCACCTCAGGATCCTCCACTTAACCCCACCCTCCCAGTCCCTTTTGCCACATAGGGCCCCATAGCCACAGGGTTCGAGTGTGGACCTCCCTGGGGCTGTTATTCAAACTGCCACAGATGCCACAAACACCAGGCCCAGAGGAGGTGGACACGTGTGTGCAAATCCACAAAACCAGCAAAGCACGTGAAGACGTGCAGATGAGGAAGACCCCAATGGCACGGGAGGGCAGACACAGAGCCGTCCACAGATGGATCGGAGCTCTGGGGAAGGCACCGCAGAGCCAGCGCCGTCTGAGGCACACGGTGGGGGCAGCAGGAACACGTCTAGGGCTGGGGAACCGGCCCCAAAGAGCTAAAGAACCCAGCAACTAACCGAAATGCTCACACTTACAGATGGCAGACGGGAAAAGAAGCCACCTGCTGGGATGCTGAGACTCGCTTGCAGGAGCTTTTGGAACTGGCTGAGGTCACAGCTGGAACCACTGTGGCCAGCTGGAGTCTGCACAGCCCGAGTTTCCACCCCAGGGTCCCAGTAACTCCGCCCAAATGTGCACACGAGACCTATGAGGAGACATAACTTTCCAGAACCCCCTTTTCTTCCACCAGCCACTTACTCATCCAAGAACCCACCCCCGAACCTTCCCTAATAGAAACACTGCATTAAAGCCAGCGCGGGGAGACAGACGTGAACTGCGCCCCTGTCTCCTTGTGGGTTGGCCTAGAATAAAAGCTTTTCTTTTCTCAAAAACCTGGTGTCATAGTATTGGCCTCCTGCACATCGGGCAGCGAGCCCTTTTGCTCAGTAACAGGGAGACACAGGCAGAGCCCTTGGGGTGACAAGGGGACAGCCCTGAGCAGCAGCGGCCCCAGCACGCTCCCCGGGTAGAGCAGTGAGCCCATGAATAATGCTGCGCCTGCGCAGAAGGAACGAGGCTGACACCAACATCCCTGCCCTGCGGGAGGAGGCTGCCTCCGCAGCAGCACCGTGAGCAGGGCCCTTGTGGATCCACAGCACCGCGGGTCCCCAGCAGCCACAAGGACAGACCCACGCCAGCTCAAGAGACAGACTCACGCCAGCTCAAGAGACGCAGCAGTGACCACAGAGAGTGGCTGTGCACACTCCACCAGGATATGAGTGACGCGCCTCTGTGCACCAGCCCATCATCCACACTGTCCACGAGACCCTGGAGACAGCATGGCCACTGCGGCCCAGGAACGCCGCCCACCCACCCACCTGCACGCCAGCCCCACCCAGGCGCTCACTTGAACATGGCGATGAGGAGGTTGAGCAGCAGGATGTTGGTGAAGAGCAGGTAGAGGCAGAGTAGGAGGACCGTCAGCCACTCAGGGAAGGCCGGCCTCTGCTGCGTCGCGTCGCTCTCGGGGCACTTAGGCTTGTAGGGGTCGGTGCCATTGGGGCTGCAGTGCTCCGGGTTGAAGTTCACACCTGGCGTTGGGAATGGGGGTGGGTGAGCCAAGAAAACAACACAGAGTCAAGAGGAGCTTGGCAGGAGGGGGCCCTCGAGGCCTCCAGTCACTGCCAGGTCCCCCGCAGGCCTGATGCTGCTCATTTGGGTGACCTCAGCTGTCACCTCTGGGCCAGAAGTCCAGAAAGAGGCATCTGTCTCCAGCCAGATGCAGGTAGGAGGCCCCGGGGGCAGAGCTGCACCCAGGCTGGCCCGTGCCTCCGCCCAGGGTGTGCCACCCACCAGGGCACTGCCAGGGTCCCAGCCAGGGCCAGCACCAGGTCCCAAGCCTGGGGAGTTCAATTTGGTGGAAATAATTTAAAAGGAAAGGCCAGGAGCAGTGGCTCATGCCTGTAATCCCAGCACTTTGGGAGGCCAAGGCGGGCGGATCACCTGAGGTCAGGAGTTTGAGACCAGCCTGGTCAACATGGTGAAACCTTGTCTCTACTAAAAATACAAAAATTAGCCAGGCATGGTGGCGGGCGCCTATAATCCCAGCTACTCGGGAGGCTGAGGCAGGAAAATCACTTGAATCCGGGAGGGAGGTGGAGGTTGCAGTGAGCCGAGGTTGCCTCATTGCACTCCAGCCTGGGCAACAAGAGCAAATGTCTGTCTCAAAAATTAAAAAAAAAAAAAAAAAAAAAGAATTGAAAAGGAAAAAAATAACAACTATCCCAAAGAGAAGGGAGACGTGGAGATGTGGAAAAGGGAAGATGTTGCAGAGGCAATGTATCGACAAGTGAAACGGGTGATTGTGAAGAAAAATAGCGTCCTGCGTGCATAGAAAGTAAGGGCTATTGAATATGGAAACAGCTTCTACCTTAAACAAATCTCTAAGGAAACATAGTAAGTTGTTAACAGTAGTTAACTCCGGGAGGTGAAATTATGAATAACATTCTTTCCTTATACTTATCTTGAATTTTAAAATTGTTCAACAATGAGCAATGCATTATTGGGTAATCAAACCTATTTTGAATGTGTTACTAATTTTCTAAGATAGAAACGCACTCTGATGGCTATAAATTCCTATATTAATAAAGAAGAGCTGAAATTATTAACGTAACTTCCCACTGTAGTAAACTAGAAAAAGAAGAGCAAACCACCCTTTCACAATAAAAACACTCAAGAAGTTAGGAATCAAAGAGAACCTCTTTGATTGAAAGGACATTTACAAAAACCCTGCAGCTAACATCATACCCAGTGGGAAAGACTGGATGCTTTCCCTGAGACAAGCCAAAAGCAAGCAGAAGGAAGGAAAGAATGAAGATTAGAATATAAATGAGATCGAGAAATCAAAAACAATGAATGTCAACAAACCAAACTCAGTTCTTGAAAAAGAGCAACAAAAATAATTACCACCTTGTAGCTAAGACTGATCAAGGAAAAAAAGAGAGAAGGCTCAAATTGCTAAAATCAGAAATGAAAGAGAGGATATTACTACTAATCTTACAAAAAGAAAAAGAACTCAAAGGAAATCCTAGAGAAAATTGTATGCTAAAAAAATTAGATGATCTAGATGAATGGACAAATTCCTAGAAAGACACAAACTACCAAAGGTGACTGGAGAAGAAATAGAAAATATAAATAGACCTATAACACATAAAGAGATTGAATTAGTAAGTTAAAAACATCACACAAAGAAAAGTCCACACTCAGAGGAGTTCACTGGTGAATTCTACCAAATGTTCACGGAAGAATTAAAACCACTCTTTTACAAACTCTTCCAAAATATAAGAGGAGGAACTACTTCCTAAGCCATTTTATGAGGCCAGTATTATCCTGGTGCCAAAACTAGGCAAACATATTACAAGAAAAGAAAACCACAGACCAATAACCTTCATGAATATAGGTGCAAAAATCATCAAAAAACAGCTAGCAAAGTGAATCCAGCACCATGTAAAAGAGATTATTCACCAAGACCAAGTGGGACGTGTCCCAGGAACATAAAGTTGGTTTAACATTCGAAGGTCAATTGATGGAATGCACCATATTAATAGTAAAAGGATCAAAGACCATCTGAACATTTGAATAAGTGCAGGAGAAGCAGCTGACAAAGTCTACCACTCCTTCACAATAAAAACACTCAAGAAACTAGGAATAGAAGGGAACTTCTTCAACCTGATAAAGGACATTTATAAAAGCCCCACAGCTAACATCACACTTAATGGTGAAAGGCTTGTTCCCTAAGATCAGTGGACTCGTCTTAAGATCAGGAGCAAAGCAAGGATGTCCCCCATTGTCCCTTCTGTTCAACATTGTACTGGAGGTTCTAGCCAGGGCACTTAGGCAAGAAGAAGAAATAAAAGGCAACCAGTTTGGAAAGGAACAAGTAAAACTCTCTTTTTGCAGATGACATGGTCTCGTATATGACAAATCCACTAAAAAACTATTAAAAGTAATAAAGAAGTTTAGCAAGGTTTCAGAGTTCAAGATCAATCTACAAAAGACAATGTATGTCTACATACCAGTCATTAACAATTTGAAATGAAATCAATAGGACAATTCTATTTATAATAGCTTGGACAATAATAAAATATTTAGGAATAAATTTAACAGAAGAAGCATTAAGACTTATTACTGGAAACTATAAAACATTATTGAGAGAAATTAAAGAATTAAATAAGCAAAAAGACATCCCATGTTCACAATCAAAATCACAGATGCCCTTTTTGGAGAAATTGATGAGCTGATCCAAAAATTCTTGTGAAGCCAAGGGACCCAGAGGCCAAAGCAATCCTGGAAAAGAACAAATTAGGACTCACACTTCCGAATTTCAAAACTTACTACAAGGCTACGCTCACCAAGACAGCACGGTCAAAACTTACTACAAGGCTACGCCAACCAAGACAGTGCGGTCAAAACTTACTACAAGGCTACGCTCACCAAGACAGTGTGGTCAAAACTTACTATAAGGCTACGCTCACCAAGACAGTGAGGTCAAAACTTACTACAAGGCTACGCCAACCAAGACAGTGCAGTCAAAACTTACTACAAGACTACGCTCACCAAGACAGTGCGGTCAAAACTTACTACAAGGCTACGCTCACCAAGACAGTGCGGTCAAAACTTACTACAAGGCTACGCTCACCAAGACAGTGTGGTCAAAACTTACTACAAGGCTACGCTCAACAAGACAGTGTGGTCAAAACTTACTACAAGGCTACGCTCACCAAGACAGTGTGGTCAAAACTTACTATAAGGCTACGCTCACCAAGACAGTGAGGTCAAAACTTACTACAAGGCTACGCCAACCAAGACAGTGCGGTCAAAACTTACTACAAGGCTACGCCAACCAAGACAGCACAATCAAAACTTACTACAAGGCTACGCCAAGACAGTGCGGTCAAAACTTACTACAAGTCTACGCCAAGACAGTGCGGTCAAAACTTACTACAAGGCTACGCTCACCAAGACAGTGCGGTCAAAACTTACTACAAGGCTATGCCAACCAAGAGAGTGCAGTCAAAACTTACTACAAGGCTACACCAAGACAGTGTGGTCAAAACTTACTACAAGGCTACACCAACCAAGACAGTGTGGTCAAAACTTACTACAAGGCTACGCCAAGACAGTGCAGTCAAAACTTACTACAAGGCTACGCCAAGACAGTGCAGTCAAAACTCACTACAAGGCTACGCCAACCAAGACAGTGCGGTCAAAACTTACTACAAGGCTATGCCAACCAAGACAGCGCGATCAAAACTTACTACAAGGCTACGCTCACCAAGACAGTGCGGTCAAAACTTACTACAAGGCTACGCTCACCAAGACAGTGTGGTCAAAACTTACTACAAGGCTACGCTCACCAAGACAGCGCGATCAAAACTTACTACAAGGCTACGCCAACCAAGACAGTGAGGTCAAAACTTACTACAAGGCTACGCCAACCAAGAGAGTGAGGTCAAAACTTACTACAAGGCTACGCCAACCAAGACAGCACGATCAAAACTTACTACAAGGCTACGCCAAGACAGTGCGGTCAAAACTTACTACAAGTCTACGCCAAGACAGTGTGGTCAAAACTTACTACAAGGCTACGCTCACCAAGACAGTGCGGTCAAAACTTACTACAAGGCTATGCCAACCAAGAGAGTGCAGTCAAAACTTACTACAAGGCTACACCAAGACAGTGTGGTCAAAACTTACTACAAGTCTACGCCAACCAAGACAGTGTGGTCAAAACTCACTACAAGGCTACACCAAGACAGTGCAGTCAAAACTTACTACAAGGCTACGCCAAGACAGTGCAGTCAAAACTCACTACAAGGCTACGCCAACCAAGACAGTGCGGTCAAAACTTACTACAAGGCTATGCCAACCAAGACAGCACGATCAAAACTTACTACAAGGCTACGCCAACCAAGACAGTGCGGTCAAAACTTACTACAAGGCTATGCTCACCAAGACAGTGTGGTTCTGGCACAAGGACAGACATCAGTGGAGTCAAACTGAGACTCTAGAAATAAGCCCTTATGTTAATGGTCCACTGATTTTCAACAAGGATGCCAAGATGCTTCACTGGGGAAACAACAGTCTTGTCAACAAATAGTGCTGGGACAACAGGAGAGCCACAACGAAGACTGACCCTTACCGCACACCAGGGCAAACAAAAAGCGAAAGCTATAAAACACTTAGTAGAACACAGGCATAAATCACGGCAATGGTTTTCGCTAGGACACCAAAAGCACAATGATCAAAGAGATTGATAAGTTGAACATCATCAAAATTTCAAAAGCTCGTGCATCAAATGACACCATAAAGAAAATAACAAGTCAGTGCACAGATTGACAAAAAAAATTCAAATCATACCTTTGGTAAGAGACTGGCATCCTTACGTAAAGAACTCTTACGACTCAATAATATAAAAGACAACTCAATAATATAAAAGACAACTCAATTGAAAAATGGGCAAAGATGGCTGGGGGCAGTGGCTTATGCCTGTAATGCCAGCACTTTGGGAGGCCAAGGCGGGTGGATCACGAGGTCAGGAGATCGAGACCAGCCTGGCCAACATGGTGAAACTCTGTATCTACTAAAAATACAAAAATTAGCCAGGCGTGGTGGCGTGCGCCTGTAGTCCCAGCTACTCGGGAGGCTGAGGCAGGAGAATCACTTGAGCCCGGGAGGCAGAGGTTGCAGTGAGCTGAGATCGCACCACTGCATTCCAGCCTGGGTGACAGAGCGAGACCCTGTCGGAAAAAAAAAAAAAAAAAAAAAGGGCAAAGGAGAGGGAGAGACATTTCTTGAAAGAAGACTTACAGACGACGAGGTTAGCAGAGGAGGAGATGCTCAGCATGGCGGGTCCTTAGAGAAATGCCCGTCAAAGCGACAAGGAGAGCCACTTCTCACCCACCGGGATGCGAGCTTTGTTTTTTTAATGGACAATAACAAATGTTGACAAGAAGGTAGAGAAATTGGAATCCTGGGACTGGGCAGGCAGGAATGTGGAATGCGGCCGGTTCTTTGGAAAACAGCCCAGCACGTCCACAAAAACTTAAACATGGAGTTCCCATATGAGCCAGCCGTGCATTCCTAGGTGTCTAAGAGAAATAAAAACATACCCACACAAAACCCTGTAAATAACTGTTCATGCTACGTTATTCACAGCATGTGAAAAGTGGAAACGGCCCTGCGCGGTAGCTCACACCTGTCATCCCAGCACTTTGGGAGGCCGAGGCGGGTGGATCACCTGAGGTCAGGAGTTCAAGACCAGCCTGTCCAACATGGTGAAACCCCATCTCTACAAAAAAATACAAAAATTAGCCAAGCGTGGTAGCAGGTGCCTGTAATCCCAGCTACTCGGGAGGCTGAGGCAGGAGAATTGCTTGAACCCAGGAGGTGGAGGTCGCAGTGAGCCAAGATTGTGCCACTGCACTTTGGCCTGACTCCCTCTCGGGAAAAAGAAAACAGAGCGAGACTCCCTCTAGGGGAAAAAAAAAATTAAATATTAATTAATTTAAAATTTTTTAATTAAAAAATTAAATATTAATTTTTTTTAAAAAAAAGGAAAAGTGGAAACAACCCATATGTCCACCAACTGATGAATGGATGAACAAAATGTGGTGTGTCCACACAGCGGGGTCCTCTTCAGCCATAAACGGGAAGTAAATACTGATACACGGTGACAAACCTTGAAAACGGGACATCAAGTGAAAGAAGTCAGACACCAAAGACTGCCTATTACATCATCCAGTTTCTATGAAACGCCCAGAAAAGGCAGCTCACAAGTAGCTTCGTGGGTGGCTGTGGCTGAGGGGAGGGGAACGGGAGTGACTGTGAGTATGCAGGGTCTTTTCAGGGTGATGCAGATGTTATAAAGTTAGATTCTGTAAAGATACTGAAAACCACTGACAGGTGCACTTTATCCAGGTGAAATTTCTCTCAATGAAGCTGTTAAAAAAAAAAAAAAAAAAAAAAAAAACCTTCTATATGAAAAGTGTTCTCTCTGGCAGGCATGGTGGCTCACGCCTGTAATCTCAGCACTTTGGGAGGCCAAGGGGGTGGATCACTTGAGCTCAAGAGTTCGATACTAGCCTGGGCCACATGCTGAAACCCCCATCTCTACAAAAAATACAAAAATTAGCCGGGTGTGTTGGCGTGCACATGCAGTCCCAGCTACTCAGCAGACGGGTGGGAGGAGGACTTGAGCGCAGGAGGTGGACGTGCCACTGCACTCCAGCCTGGGTGACAGAGCAAAACCCTGTCAAAAAATGGAAGGAAGGAAGGGAGGAAGGGAGGAATGAATTATTTCCATCAAGAGAAGAAGGAAGTTATTTCTGATTGAGGTGAGAGGGAAAGGGGATACAGGGTGACATTCCATTTCAGGGGGCTGTCAGCTGATGCCCCAGGTGCCCTCGGCCCACTCTGACCTCTGCGTGGCACCACTCACCCCCACCAGGCCCCCCTCCTCCCTCCCCTGGTGGGGCCCCTTCTACTTCCTGCCACAGGAGCTGGGGAATGAATGCCCCCAGGGAGGACACCGGCCAGGTGGGAACCGCAGGACCCCCTGATGGAGCCGGCCTCACTCCCACTCATGCGGCCCCTTTCCAGCCTCTCTCCTGCTTCCCGGCAGCACCACCCGAGCTCCCATGGCGCCCGGCTCCTACCGTCGATGTAGCCCGGGATCTGCCCGAAGATGGTGAGGTAGGAGTGGTAGACGGCCCCTCGGAACAGCCAGTCCACCCGGCGCTCGTTGTGGATGAGGATGGCCTGCTTGGCCACCCCGAAGGACACCACCCACACAGCCAGCAGGAAGAGGAAGAAGAAGACGTCCTTCATCTGCAGGACAGAGAGTGTGTGGGCTACACTCTCCTGGCCCCCGATGCTCACTGGGCCCAGAGGCAGGCCCAGCAGCGGTGGAGACAGCACTGCCACTCACAGCACAGACACGGCATGCAGGAGGCTCCCAGGAGCAGTCCTGGGGCTGCCCCCACACCCTCGTGGACTGCCGACATCTTTGTGCTAGCACCACAAAGTGCAAGAGGGGTCAGACATAACCGTGACCCAAGGAGGAAAGCTCCTAGAGCTGAATCAGAGGCCAGGAATGAGTGCGGTCAGACATAACCGTGACCAAGGAGGAAAGCTCCTAGAGCTGAATCAGAGGCCAGGAATGAGTGGGGATCAGAGGGGAGAATGAGGGAAGGCTTCCTGGAAGAGGTGACGTACAGGCAAAGATACGAGAAGGGCATTCTTGGGAGCCCAAGGGGCAAAGCAGGGACGGGGAACCTACAGGTGTGTTTAAGCCCCAGTCCGAGCCACTGGCAAGGGGCCTGCCCTCCCCGAGGCCCACCCTGGGCTGCAGGCCGCGATGGAGCCGGTGCCCCCGCCCCCTTACCATCCGCTTCACAATGATGATCTTGGGCCCCAGCGTCTTACTGATGGTAAAAATGTGCATGAGCCGGAGGCAGAACAGGATGAAGTCCAGAGAGAGGATGACGCGCCCGGGGTACAGCGTCGCCGGGATGAGCCTGGCCGCCGGGCAGAAGCACACACATCTCAGCCACCTGCTCACAGCAGCCCCCAGAGCTGTCCCCCGTCGCCCCTCCACCTGTCCTAGCCCAGGTGGGCCCTGGAGGCAAAGGGCTCTGGTGGGCCCTGCATCCCAGGTGTTCAAAGCTGGCATGAGATTGAGGAATAGAGCCTCCCACTTTTCTTCAGACGCCCAGCCCCACAGGGCAGCCTGGCATGGGGGCACCTGGAGAGCCAGCAGTTAGCCAGGGCCCTATTGCCTCCGAGAAAGGGGGCCGCGGCCTCGCAGAGACACGAGAGCATCACAGGCAGTGCAGTGAGCCCACAGTAGGGAGGCAGAGGGAGAAAGCGGCAGCCGCGTGTCCGTGGAGCTGGGACAATTCCAGAGGTTGCCATCTATGGCCCCTTGCACATGGACAATCTCAGCTCTGCCAGGAGCTCTCATGCCCCTTCTGTGCTCCCTCAACAATCCCAAGGGTAGGTGGGGCGCTGTTGCCTGGACACCCATTGGACAGATGACAATCCAGGGTTCACAGACGAGCTGAGCCTCACCCGGTGTGGCTGGTTCTGGGCCCGGCCTGTGCTCATCCCCTGCAGGGCTGGCTGCCTCAGACGGGCCCGCCATCGGGGTGAGGCCACTCACCTGCAGGTCAGCCCTGCCACGAAGAGCAAGATTGCGCCGACGTCCAGCTTATTCCAGAAGTCACTGAAGTACAAGGCTGCCTTCTTCATCAGCCCGCACTCGTCAGGGTCATAGAAGAGCTACTGGGAAGAGGGGCGGTAGGAAGGCAGACAGGTTGTCACTCTTACTATCCTCACTGTCACTGTCACATCACTATCCACTATCATCATCACAGTCACTGTCACTATCATCACTATCACTGTCACTATCATCACTACCCTTGCTGTCACCATCACTGTCATATCACTATCCACTATCATCACAGTCACTGTCACTATCATCACTATCACTGTCACTATCATCACTATCCTTGCTGTCACCATCACTGTCATATCACTATCCACTATCATCACAGTCACTGTCACTATCATCACTATCACTGTCACTATCATCACTACCCTTGCTGTCACCATCACTGTCATATCACTATCCACTATCATCACAGTCACTGTCACTATCATCACTATCACTGTCACTATCATCACTATCCTTGCTGTCACCATCGCTGTCATATCACTATCCACTATCATCATCACAATCACAGTCACTGTCACTATCATCACTATCACCGTCACTATCATCACTGTCACTATCATCACTATCACTATCATCACTATCATCACGGTCAGCAAATCCGAACATTGGTTCTGATCTGAAGAGAGCTGGGTCAGTGAGGGAGATGGGAACAGGACGTGGAGGAACAATGCAGAATAGCGCTGGCAGCAGCTACCTCGGCCCCCTGCTCACTCAGCACCTGTGTGTGCATATATGTGTATGTACATATATTCTGCATGTATGTGTGTATACGTGTGAATATGTATGTGTGCACATATGTGTGTGTATGTATGTGTGCATTCTGTATGTGTCTGCATGTATTTGTATGTGTATGCATGTGTGTATATGTGTATGTGCATGTATGTGTGCATGTATATGTGTATGCACATACATTTGCATGTATTGTGTATGTATGCATGTTTGTGTGTGTGCATGTGTATGTGTATCTGTGTGTCTCTGTGTATATGTGTATTTGCATGTTTTTGTGTGTGCATGTGTATATATGTGTATGTGTCTGTATGTGTGTGTTCATATGTGTATGTTCATTCATGTGTGCATATGTATATATGTGTGTGTATGTGTGTACATGTTTGTTCATGTGCATATGTATGTATATGTGTATATGTGCTTGGGTGATGTGTATATTTGTGTATGTGCATGTGTGTATGTGTATGTGTGTATGCATGTGTATGTGCATGTGTGTATGTATGTGTGCATATGTGTATGTGTATATTGTGTACATGTGTATGTGTGTATGCATGTGTGTGCTGTATATGTATGTGCATGTGTATGTATGTGTATATTTGTGTGTATGCACACGTGTAATGTGTGTATGCATGTGTGTGCATGTGTATACATGTGTTTATCTGTGTATATTTGTATGTGTGCATGCATGTATATGTGTATGCATGTGTGTGCATCTCTATATGCATGTATGTGTGTCCATGCATATGTGTGTATGCATGTGTATATGTGTGCATGTATGTGTATGCATGTGTGTATGCATGTGTGTGCATGTGTGCATGTGTGTATACATATGCATGAATGTGTGTGCCTATGTGTGTACTGTGTGCATGTGTGTGCATGTATGTGTGTACATATGCATGTATGTATGTGTGTGTGCCTATGTGTGTGTGCATTTGTGTGCATGTGTACATGTGTGTGCATGTACCTGTATGTGTATGCATGTGTGTGCATGTGTGTGTGTGTTGGAGCAGCGCCCTCAATGTCAGGCGCCAGCTGCCTTCCCACAAGGATCTTTGTTCTGTCAGGGGCCACACTGTTTCTTTAGCAGGCCAAGAGTGCAGGACCTGGCAGGGGCTGTGGGAGCCCCCATTTGGCCTACTTGGCAGGAGTCCCCACACCCTCCCTAGCCCCAGGCCCCAGGACCCAGCAGCTGGACAGGTGGGGCAGGTGACCAGCAGGACCAACCAGGGCCCTCCCTGGATCACAGACAGATGCAGGGAGAAGGAAGTGCCCCCTCTGCTCTCAGGCTGCTGCCCATGGGGCTGGGGCTGGGGGTGCATGGAGGCCTCTGGCCCCTTGTAGAGAGGGTCTGGTGGCAGAAGCCCTGTGGCAAGAGGAGAGCCAAGGAGAGCCCAGCAGAGCCAGGGCCACAGCACAGCTCCCAGGCCCCGCCAAGTCCTGGACCTGATCTTCCTTCCTGGGGACGCCGGTGCCTCCCCCAGGGCCCCAGTAGGCAGTGGTATTTACACAGTGCACACTGCTTTCTAACTGGGGTAACTGGGGGCCTGGTGGTCCACCAAGGTTAGAGAGCAGAGGTAAGTCTAAGCCAGGACCACTGCCCCGTGGGCTGACCCCACCCCCTCACCACTGCCCTGAGGGTTCCAAGGACCTAGTTCCCATTCACCGGCTGCCAGCAGGTGCAGGCACCGTGGGGGCACAGTGGAGACCCCACACAGTAAGGGATTCGCCCCACCTGGGGGGCAGCTTGGCCTCGCCCAGCTCCAGGGAGATAGCCTCTGAGCCCTTGGAATGTCCGCCTGATGAGGGTGTCTTTGTTCCTGGGGCCTGGGCCATGCCAGGTGGTCCCACAGTGTGATTTGGGGTGGGGCCCCGGGCAGTTTTCAGTTTGACCTTTGGAGGGCTGGAGACTGAGGTCAACCATGTGGTGTCAGCCTCGCCTCTGTGACTGACCTCCAGTAGACACCAAGGCCCGCGAGCCTCTCTGGGGACGTGCCTCCATGCATGAGGCCACACATCATCACCGGGAGGATGGAGTGCCACCCACACCTCCACAGGGAGGGACTGGCCGGATGCCCTGGGCTCAGAGCTGTCCTGGATGCAGCTGCGTCCCTCCCCCTGGCTGGTTTAGTCTGTAGACTGTTGCTTAATAAACCATAAGTGAGCATTGCCACTCCCCAGCGTCTGTGGGTCCTTCTGGCTCGTTATTGAACGTGAGAGGGGTCTTAGGGACCCCACACCTTGCACTGCTCTTCCTGGGGGAAGGGACATACTCATAGTCCACAAGGTCAGGGCATCCACCTTGAGCTGATCAGCCGGTCTCCAGGAGGGAAGGATGCCTGGGCCGAGGGAAAGCAGGGAAGCAGGCGCAGGGGGCATGAGGAGGGAGGGGCTTGGAGGGCAGCGCCCCAGCCACCCATTTTGGGGAGGAAACACCGGCTCTGCTCAGCTTGCAGGGAGCTGGGCAGGCTAGATGGGGTGGGCTCTAAGCCATGGGTCCCCTATGAGAATGCAGCCAAGTGGGTGGCCCCGGGCTGGGGCGTGGAAAAGCGGGTGGGGCTGTACCTGCCGCATCTCCTCGCACACCAAGGAGAAGAGCCAGAGGTAGATGGCACACTCGCACCAGGAGGGCACAGGCTGGAAGTCCACCATGAGCACGTAGGCGAACAGGCAGAGGAAGGCGAAGTAGGAGAGGATGTTCAGGTGGAAGACCACCACGGGTGCGGTGAAGAAGGCACGGGCGCGGGCCGCGGGGGTGCCCACATCCTGCAGCCTCTTCTCCCTGCGGCCGTCACAGCAGAGAGGAGACAGTGACCACCAGGGCCAGGGTCCTGACCTCCACAGGCTTTGGCCACCCCGTGATCCCCCGTGCCCCTCAGAGAGATGTGCTTTTAGAGGCAAAAGCACTCAGGGATCCGGGGCCATAACGGCAGCTACAGGCGGAGCCGGCACAGCACAGCCTGGGAGCCTCACACACAGCCACCGGGGTGGGGCTGGACCCCACAGCCCAGCAAAGTGAGGACACAGGGATGCCCGCTGACGCCCTGCCCATGGCCATGACCTTAATGGCTGCAAACAGGGAGGCCCAGCCTGCCCCAAGCCCAGCCTTGGGTGGGCCCCAGCTTCAGAGCTCCCAGTGCTCAGTGGACGCTCAGGCCTTAGTCACCCTCCTGTAAATGGGGACAGGCTTTCCTTGCCGTCCTCAATGGGGGTGGGGCTGACCACACTCCCCCTGTGGTGTGCCCTGATCCCAGGTCCCTATCCCCGGGCCGCTGGAACGGGAGCAGAGGCGGCCATCAGTGACACGGCTCTGCCATCCTCGGGAGAGCAGGAGAGAAGCCAGCACTGCTTTAGGACACCTGAGCCGCTCCTCCCTGCCTCAGTTTCCCACCAGGATTCCTGAACACTCAAGTACCCATCCTGGCCGTGAGGAGAAAGGGAAGGAGGCAGGCAGTGTGGACTGCGGGTTGCAGAAGGGGCTCAGCCACCTCGCTGGGGTCTTGAATCTGCCCTGACTCCCAGGAGACCCTGAGCCTCCATCCAGCCCTCAGTAAAACACAGCAGATCCCACAACGCCCCAGCAAGCCTCTGAGGAGGTGCAGGTGGGGACACCAGGCCAGGCCAGGTCTTCAACCATGGCCAGCCGTGTCCTCCTCCTTCATAAGGGAAAGCGATTCCATCAATACAGGCTCTGCGGCTGCGAGGACAGGGAGGCACTCAGCCGCAGCTCGCTGCTCGCATCCCAGACCTGCACTAACTGCCCACGCCGCAGACTGGCTCAGGTCTACAGTGCCGGCAGGAGCAGGAGACCATCTTTCCTGGCCTCCCCAACCCCAGGCTGATGTGGCTGAGGGACGGGCTCATCAGCATCATGAGATCAGTGCTGGGGCTGGGGCAAGGCAGGTGCTTCCAGCACGTGGGGCCCTGCTCTGCTTCCCACCCCCATCTCTACAGCCCCAGGATCCAGGGACAATTCTGAGGACACATGACTTGCTCCCAGCGAGGGGATCTAGGGAAGATCCTGAGCCCCCAGGAGCCTCTCCCGCAGCCCCGCAGCCCCACAGTCCCGCAGCCCCGCAGCCCTGCAGCACCTGAAGGAGATGAGGCCGGTGAGGAGCAGCGGGAAGGCCAGCATGCACAGGGTCACACGCCACAGCCCATTGTCCACGGAGAGCTGGCCCCACCACACCTTGGTCAGGAAGGCCTGCGGATGGGGGCAGTCTCAGGATGGCAGTGCCCAGCCCTGTGCCCCAGATGGTGCCCGTCAGCTGTCTGCTGAGGACTCGGGGTGCCTAGTGGACAGAGCTAGCCTGCAGTCTCACAGCAGAAAGTGGTGAAGACACAGAGCTTGCCCTGGGGCTTTGGGTGTCCAATCCCGCCTTTCACCTGACCTCAAGCTATGGGACCCCATCTCTGCTGGCTTCGAAGGCCCCGCAGTTGCAGGCTGTAGAGCACTGGCCCCTCTGAGCTCTGCAGTGGGGGACAGGACCCTTCCCCAGGCCTCCCTAGGCCTGGCACAGCCCAGGACATGACGGGAGCTCATGGACTTGGCAATAGCTCGGCGCTCCAAGGAAGCCCAGCGTGCAAGGGGCACTCGCTGGGAGCCAGGCCCTGCCGGGGGTTCCAGGGCGATGCTGAGGGCAGCCATGCCTGGGAGCCCCTGCTGCTCCAGGGAGGACACGCCGTGTCCCGCTTATCCCTCCAGGGAGAGAGGGCAGACGCCGTTCCCAGAGCCACCTGGGCTTCTGCCTGCCGCTCCCAGGTAGGAACATCCATGGGGAGGTGAATTGCGATCTCCATGGCCACCAGCTCCTGCTTTTGCTTCATGTTAGCTTCCCCCCATCTGCAAAATGGGAGGCCAGAGCCTGGAGCAGGTGGCCGAGGGGTCAGGCGCTGTCCCCGAGCTGCTGAGGGCCCTGAAGCCTGTGTGAGTGTGCGTGCCAACTGCACGAACAGGAGGCTGTGTCCGCCCTGCAGGCACCACAGGCGTCTGTTTCTGGAAGGGGCTCTTGGGAGGTCACCTGGATGCCCCCGTGAGACACAAACTTCATGTCCTTGGCCTCCAGGGCGAGCTGCAGGCAGGTGGTCTTCCCCCAGGCCTCGGACACGCGGGTGAGCAGTTTCTGGGCTCTCTCTTCGTCCTTCCGGTAGCACTCGGTGAAGACCCCTGGGCGGAGATATGAGAGCCCCGTCAGAGCAGCAGGTCACAATCACTGAGCCCTGGGGACGGGTCAGAGGGCAACCACTCGGGACAGCACCACCAGGACACAGGGAAGGGCACAGGGCAAATGTGGGGCTGGTGTCTCAAAACACCCAGGCCCAGGGACGAGGACCCCAGGGAGAGGGCACGTAGGGCTGGAACTGCCTCTACAAAAATGACAACAGGGAGAAAACTCAGACAGGGACCGAGAACTGACCTAATGGACTCCATCTTGCCTCTAACCTCCAAGCTGCCCTTGTCCATTCCTGGGCATAGGCCACACTAACTTTGAGAGGAACTTCGTTTATAGTTTAACTTCCAAACAGAGATGATAGCGGCCCTTTCCCGAAACGAACCCCCTTCTTGCCTGGGAGCAGTCTGCGTTTGTAAGACTAACAAAGTAGCCACAAATTAGAAATTATGGTTTAGGAGTCACGCAGCCAGAGGCCACAAGATTCCAAACCTCCCCAACTCTTCCTAGGAATATCATCACTATTGGAAAACCCAGGATATTTTGAAAGCCTGCATTCTGATGCTTCACTGACGCCACCCCGACTGGAGATCTGGTGCAACCAGTTCTGTGACCACACGCAGAAACAGCAGACAGCGAGAAGAACCCACTTCGACCCCTGTGATCATGAATAGTAGACAGTGAGAAGAACCCACTTTGACCCGCTGTGATTTCATCTCTGGCCCAACCAATCAGTACTCCCCGCTGCCTGGCCCCCTACCCACCAAATTATCCTTAAAAAACCCCAGTCTCACCAGGCGTGGTGGTTCACGCCTGTAATCCCAGCACTTTGGGAGGCCGAGGTGGGCGGATCATCTGAGGTTAGGAGTTTGAGACCAGCCTGACCAATATGATGAAACCCCATCTCTATTAAAAATACAAAAATTAGCCAGTTGTGGTGGCAGGCAGCTGTAATCCCAGCTACTCGGGAGGCTGAGACAGGAGAATCGCTTGAATCCAGAGGGCAGAGGGTGTAGTGAGCCGAGATTGTGCCATTGCACTCCAGCCTGGGCAACAGAGCGACACTCCATCTCAAAAAAAAAAAACAGTCTCCAAATTTTCAGGGAGACTGATTTGGGTGATGAAACTCCAGCTTCCCATTCAGCCGGCTCTGTGTGAATTAAACTCTTTCTCTATTGCAATCTCGCTGTCTTAACAAATGGGCTCTATCTGAGCAGCAGGCAAGACGAACCCACTGGGTGGTTACAGGGCCGAGACTCCGGGATGAGGACCCCAGGGTAAGCGTGCAGGGCTGAGGCCCAGGGACGAGGACCCCAGGGTGAGGGCACATGGGGCTGAGACCCAGGGATGGGAACTCCAGGTGAGGGCATGCACGGCTGAGCCATGGCCTGCAGCCCGTGCCCGGCAGAGCTCACCGATGGCTCTGTGCTCATACTCCTCCGCCAGCGCCAGCATCTCCTCCGAGCTGTCCGTGTCCTCCTCCTCCTTGGACAGTTCCTTCAGGATCTTGCTGCAGGCCAAGGCCGCTGCGATGCAGTCCTGGCTCTGGGGACCAGAGGAGCCACCGTGAGACTAAAGAGCCAGGCTCAACCCAGCCTGAGGAACCCAACACACTGCCCCAGGTGATGAAAACGAGGCCCGGGGACAGTGCGGGCCACTGGGCAATCACTGTGTGTGACCACATCTATACAGACAACTTAAGCCCCACCCCAGTCAATACACAACCTCTGATGATGGCCCAGGCTCCTGCGTGGCCTGTGGGAGGGGTCTGCTTGCCCTGCAAAGCCTGACGGACAGCACGGGCCCAGCACATGCACCAGCCCCCATCGGAACCCGTGTGAGCTGCAGAGGGCGGCACCACCCGGCCTGTGCGTGCCCAGTGAGACTCGGCCCTGGACATAACCACAGAACCAGTTTTTTTTAGCAGAACTTTTAATTTAAAAATTCCTTTCCTGGGCCGGATGCAGTGGCTTACGCCTGTAATCCCAGCACTTTGGAAGGCCGAGGCAGGCGGATCATGAGGTCAGGAGTTCGAGACCAGCCTGGCCAATATGGTGAAACCCCATCTCTACTAAATTATAAAAAATTAGCCAGGCGTGGTGGCACATGCCTGTTGTTCTAGTTACTCAGGAGGCTGAGGCAGGAGAATCGCTTGAACACGGTAGGCAGAGGTTGCAGTGAGCCGAGATTGTGCCACTGCACTCCAGCCTGGGCAACAGAGCAAGACTCCGTCTCAAAAAAAAAAAAAATTCCTTTCCTGCCTAGAGCTAAGTTCTTTGTTCTCCAACTCCAGGTGCCCCAAGTCCTTCCCAGTGTTGGAGACGCCCACAACCCTCCACAGCCTCCACAGCCCTCCACAACCCCCCACACCCCTCCACACCCCTCCACACCCCTCCACAGCCCTCCACACCCCTCCACAGCCCTCCACACCCCTCCACATCCCTCCACACCCCTCCACAGCCTCCACACCCCTCCACACCCCTCCACATCCCTCCACACCCCTCCACAGCCTCCACACCCCTCCACACCCCTCCACACCCCTCCACATCCCTCCACATCCCTCCACACCCCTCCACAGCCTCCACACCCCTCCACACCCCTCCACAACCCTCCACACCCCTCCACAGCCTCCACACCCCTCCACACCCCTCCACAGCCCTCCACACCCCTCCACAGCCTCCACAACCCTCTACACCCCTCTACACCCCTCCACAGCCTCCACACCCCTTCACAGCCTCCACACCCCTCCACAGCCTCCACACCCCTCCACAGCCTCCACACCCTTCCACAGTCTCCACATCCCTCCACAGCCTCCACACCCCTCCACACCCCTCCACACCCCTCCACAGCCTCCACATCCCTCCACAGCCCTCCACAAGCCTCCACATCCCTCCACAGCCCTCCACACCCCTCCACACCCCTCCACACCCCTCCACATCCCTCCACAGCCCTCCACACCCCTCCACATCCTCCACACCCCTCCACAGCCTCCACAGCCCTCCACATCCCTCCACAGCCCTCCACACCCCTCCACACCCCTCCACAGCCCTCCACACCCCTCCACACCCCTCCACAGCCTCCACACCCCTCCACAGCCTCCACACCCCTCCACAGCCTCCACACCCCTCCACAGCCTCCACACCCCTCCACAGCCTCCACACCCCTCCACAGTCTCCACACCCCTCCACAGCCCTCCACACCCCTCCACAGCCTCCACATCCCTCCACAGCCCTCCACACCCCTCCACAGCCTCCACAGCCCTCCACACCCCTCCAGAGCCTCCACATCCCTCCACAGCCCTCCACACCCCTCCACATCCTCCACAGCCCTCCACACCCCTCCACACCCCTCCACAGCTTCCACACCCCTCCACAGCCTCCACACCCCTCCACAGTCTCCACACCCCTCCACAGCCCTCCACACCCCTCCACATCCTCCACAGCCCTCCACACCCCTCCACACCCCTCCACAGCCTCCACATCCCTCCACAGCCCTCCACACCCCTCCACATCCTCCACAGCCCTCCACACCCCTCCACACCCCTCCACAGCCTCCACATCCCTCCACAGCCCTCCACACCCCTCCACATCCTCCACAGCCCTCCACACCCCTCCACACCCCTCCACAGCCTCCACGTGCACTTGGCCTCAGGCTCTCCAGCCACTCTCTCCAGCCACACTCCCCAGCTGGCCGCTGGCCTATAGCTGTGTCTGCTGAGACTGAGAAGCCAGTCTTATTACCTGAGCCCAGATGATTCCTGCCAGCTCCCGACGGTTCTGGACAATGGCCCAAATGAGAAGGTCACGGATGGGGTCCATGGTGAAGGTCACATGGCCTGAGGAACGCTTGTAGAGGGACCGGAGGCTCACTCCCTGCACCTGGTGAGCAGTGAACTGTCAGAGCCCCAGCCGGGCCGCCTGGCTCAGAGTCACTGGCGGAGCCTGTCAGAGGTGCAGGCCCTGACCCCAGCCCCGACCTTCTCAGGATCTCACTGTCCCTGGAGAACTACAACCTGCATTTTCAGCAACACCCTAGATCATTCTTATGCACACTGAAGTTTTTTAAAACACTGTTCTGGAGACATCTAGAAAGTGAAACGCCCGTCTAACTCCTTTACCAACATGTGTAGACTCTTGTTTCATGCCAGGCACTTCAAGTTCCCCAGTCTTATCTGATGGCATCAAAGCTGCTTTCAACGAAGCAAAATTCTAGCACAGTGGAGTATGTTAATAGGTCAGTGACTGTCTTCTCCCTGAGGGACTCTCCTGCAGTGTCTCTGGCAGAGAGGCCACTAGGAAAGATCTGTCAGGTGGGCAATATGGCTCACTCACGAGCAAGCACAGGGCACCTTGCCCAGACCCACCTCCCTGCATGGCTAGGCTTTTCCCCGGACCAGGAAACACGTACTCAGGTAGCTGGGAAACGCTCCCCAGAAGTAGAAAAAAAACCATCTCCCACATCACATACTGTACAAAACACACCTCAAGTGATCCTAGAAATTTCCTGAAGGTTTTTCATTATAAAGAAATGTGTTTTTCTTCCTAAACCACAGGTACAGATAAGCCTGAGCTTCTGCTTTGGACCTTCCTAAGCATATTCCAACTGAGTGTCTTAAATAAACGCACTGGACTTAAGAAGCGCAGATTGTGAATGTATAAAACCAAGCCATACCCGGCCTGGCACGGTGGCTCACGCCTGTAATCCCAGCAATTTGGGAGGCCAAGGCGGGAGTATCACGAGGTCAGGAGATCGAGACCATCCTGGCTAACGCAGTGAAACCCCATCTCTACTAAAAATACAAAAAATTAGCCAGGCGTGGTGGCGGACACCTGTAGTCCCAGCTACTCGGAAGGCTGAGGCAAGACAATGGCCTGAACCCAGGAGGTGGAGGTTGCAGTGAGCCAAGATTGCGCCACTACACTCCAGCCTGGGCAGCAGAGCAAGACTCCATCTCAAAAAAAAAAAAAAAAAAAAGAAATGTGTTTTTCTTCCTAAACCACAGGTACAGATAAGCTTGAGATTCTGCTTTGGACCTTCCTAAGCATATTCCAACTGAGCGTCTTAAATAAACGCACTGGACTTAAGAAGTGCAGATCGTGAATGTATAAAACCAAGCCATACCCGGCCTGGCACGGTGGCTCACGCCTGTAATCCCAGCACTTTGGGAGGCCAAGATGGGTGGATCCTAAGGTCAGGAGATCCAGATCAGCCTGGCCAACATGGTGAAACTCCATCTCTACTAATACAAAAAATTAGCTGGGCATGGTGGTGGGCGCCTGTAATCCCAGCTACTTGGGAGGCTTAGGCAAGAGACTCAATTGAACCCAGGAGGCAGAGGTTGCAGTAAGCAGAGATTATACCATTGCACTCCAGCCTGGGCAACAAGAGCAAAACTTTGTCTCAAAAACAAAAAACAAAGAAACCAAGTCATACCCATGTCTTTCTCAAGAGTCAGACAGAGCTCACCTGGAACAATGGATCGATTGGAAAACCTGGAGGAAACAGACAATTTTCTAGCAGGAAAAAAAAAAAAATGTGATCTTAGAAGAGATAGAGAACCTAAACAGAAAAATAATCAGAAAAGAAACTGAGAAAGTTACTAGAACTATTACCAATTAAAAAAAAAAGGCACTGGGTCCAGATGGACTCACAGGGGAGTCGACCAAGCTTATAAGAAGTAGTTAACTCCAGCTACATAAACTGTCCTGGAGCGGAGAAGGAAAGAAAGCTTCCCAAATGGTTTTTACAAAACTAACATAAAATTGATATCAGAGCCTGACAAATATAGCCCCCCAAATAAAACTGCAATCAAAGCCTTAAGCATTCTGATGCAAACATCCTGAAAATGTTGCCAAGAGAATCCAGTATATTAAACTTGCACTGAGGCCAAGCTGAAATTCAAAACAGGGATAAAAACATGTTTCACTATCAGAAAATCTATTAAAATAATTCACCAAATTCATAGGTCAAAGAAGAAAAGGAGCTCAATCTTCTCAAAGGCATCGATGCTTTGCTTTGTAAAACCTTAATGAATCAGAGATAAATACTCCCAAGAGGAAATACAAATACAAAATCCAGCATCATTCCTGACATTGAGTCACTGCAAGGTTCCCACTGAAAAAGGGTAAACAGACTAGGGCAGGATTCTCATTGAATCAGGGTGGAGATTACGGCAGGGTTCCCACTGAATCAGGGTGGAGACTAGGGCAGGGTTCCTATTGAATAAGGGTGGAGATTAGAGCAGGGTTCCCATTGGATAAGGGTGGAGATTAGAGCAGGGTTCCCTTGAATAAGGTTGGAGACTGGGGCAGTCTCACCATTAAATAAAGGTGAGACTAGAGCAGGGCTCCCATTGAATCACAGGGTGCAGACTACAGCATCCACTCTCCCACAGCTGCAGTGCACCCTGGGCATCTCACAAAAATACGGTGGAATGTTACTGACCTGACTGTCGGAAAAAACCAGCATACACAGTGGGCAGCAGTGGGGCTCAGGGCAGGGGGATCACGCTCCCTGCAGAACCTTTTGTACTGTTTGGAACTTTTAGAAAGGGTATGTTATGGACGCAACTCTGTCCCCCCTAAAATTCATATGTTGAAGCCCTAACCCCCAGTGTGACTATAGCATTTGGAGATAGGGCCTTTAAGAAGGTAATTAAGGTTAAACGAGGCCACATTGTGGGTTCCTAAGTGGATAGGTGTGTTCTCTTTATAAAAAGAGGGGTGAGGCCAGGTGCGGAGGCTCACACTTGCAATGCCAGCAATTTGGGAGGCCAAGACAGGAGGATCACTTGAGCCCCGGAGTTTGAGACCAGCCTGGGCCATATAATGAGACCCCATCTCAACAAAATATTATAAAAAAAAAAAAAAAGCTGGGTGTGGTGGCACATGCCTATAGTCCCAGCTACTCAAGAGACGGAGGCAGGAGGATTGCTTGAGCCTGGGAGGTGGAAGGTACGGTGAGCCATGATTGCACCACTGCACTCCAGCCTGGGTCACAGAGCCAGACCCTGTCTCAAACATAAAAATAGACAAGGCACGGTGGCTGGAGGGTGTAAATTCCAGCCTTTTGGAGGGTGAGGAGAGCGGATCACTTGAGGCCAGGAGGTTGAGACCAACCTGTCCAAAATAGCAAAACCATCTCTACAAAAAAATAAAAAATTAGCCAGGTGTGGTGGCGCATACCTGTAGTCCCAGCTACTTGGGAGGCTGAGGTGGGAGGATTGCTTGAGCCTGGGAGGTTGAGGCTGCAGTGAGCTAAGATCACGCCACTGCACTCCAGCCTGGACGACAGAGTGAGACCCTGTCTCAAAAAAATAAAAAATAAATAAAAGAAAAAGAAGAGGAAGTGGCACCAGAGACTTCTCTCTCTGTCACGTGAAGACACAGCAAGAGGGCAGCCACGTGCAAGCAAGAAGAGGCCCTGGCCAGAAGCCAGCCCTGCTGGTGCCTTAATCTGGGACTTCGGGCTTCCAGAACTTCGAGAAAATAAACTGGTAGTTTCTGCCCCATCTGTGGAATTTTGTTACAGCAGCCCAAGCAGCCTAAGATAGAGCATGTGTCTTTTCTAATAAAAATAAAAGCTAATTTTAAAAACAGAGAGCTCTAAGAACATAGCAGTAGCCCGCGAAGACGAGTCCAGGATGGGCCCCGTTACCAGCACGCACGTTGAGCTTGACGTGGGGAACGGGCAGCAGGAGCCGCAGCCGGTCGTTGTGCCGGGGCCGGGGATAAAGCGGCTGCGTGA